>NC_000003.12:197933560-198084559 GCF_000001405.40 Homo sapiens | reverse complement strand
TTTTTTATATATCCTAGTGTCATATTGCAGAAGTTCCTTTCTATGCCTAGTTTATTGAGTATTTTTATCATAAACGGGTGTTGTATTTCATCAATGTTTTTTCTGCATCAACTGAAATAATCATGTGCTTATTCATTTTACTATTATAGTATATTACACTGATTTTTTTTTTTTTTTTTTTTTTTTTTTTTTGAGACGGAGTTTCGCTCTTGTTGCCCAGACTGGAGTGCAATGGCGCGATCTCGGCTTTGGTATCAGGATAATGCTGTTATCAAAAAGTGAATTAGCAAGTATTCCTTCTTCACACATTTTGTCGGAAAAGTTTGGGAAGAAATGGTGTTAATTCTTCAAATGTTAGGTAGACTCACCAGTTAATGAAGCTATTTGGTCATAAATCTTTCTTTGTTATATCGCTTTCGATTACTAATTCAATCTCCTTGTCTATTCAGATTTTCTCTTTCTTCTTGAGCCATTTTGGTAGTTTGTGTCTTTCTAGCAATTCATCCATTTCATCCAGGGCACCTAATTTGTTGTTATACAGTTGTTCACAGTATAGTCCTATAATCCTTTTTTATTTCTGTAAAGTTGGTAGTAATGGTGCCACTTTCATTTATGATTTTAATACTGAGTCTTCCATCTTTTGCTCAGTAAATATAGTGAAAGGTTTGATCTTTCAAAGAATCAACTTCTAGCTATGTTTATTTCTTCCACTGCTTTTCAACCTTCTATTTTATTTATTTATGCTCTAATCTTTATTATTTCTTTCGTTCTTCCAGCTTTGGATTTAGTCTTTTTTTGTTTTTTCTACTGCCCGTAGGTATAGAGTGAAGTTACTGATTTGAGATTTTTTCTTAAATGTAGTTGTTTATAGCCATACATTTTCCTTTGAATTCTACTTTCACTGTATGCAATAAGTTTTGGTATGTTTTGTTTTTATTTTAATTTGTCTCAAGATGTTTTATAATTTTGCTTGTGATTTATTCCTTCACTCACTGTTAGTTTAAGAGTGTATTCTGTAATTCCCACATATTTGTGAATTTTCCAGTTTTCATTTTTTATGTATCTGTTGTTTCTTCCATTGTGATTGTAAATTATATTTTGTATTATTTCAAGGTTTTAAAAATGATTAGGACATATTTTGTGGACGAAGATATGGCCTATCCTAGAGAAAGTTCCATATCCGCTTGAAAAGAATGTGTATTCTGCTGTTGTTGGGTGGACTGTTCTCCATATGTGTATTAGCTCTAAATGGCTTATACTGTTGTTCAGGTCTTCCATTTCTCATCAAGCTTCTATCTGGTTTTTCTATCCATTAATTTTTTAATTTATTTTATTATTATTATACTTTAAGTTTTAGGGTACATGTGCACAATGTGCAGGTTAGTTACATATGTATACATGTGTCATGCTGGTGTGCTGCACCCATTAACTCGTCATTTAGCATTAGGTATATCTCCTAATGCTATCCCTCCCCCCTCCCCCCACCCCACCACAGTCTCCAGAGTGTGATATTCCCCTTCCTGTGTCCATGTGTTCTCATTGTTCAATTCCCACCTATGAGTGAGAATATGTGGTGTTTGGTTTTTTGTTCTTGCAATAGTTTACTGAGAATGATGATTTCCAATTTCATCCATGTCCTACAAAGGACATGAACTCATCATTTTTTATGGCTGCATAGCATTCCATGGTGTATATGTGCCACATTTTCTTAATCCAGTCTATCATCGTTGGACATTTGGGTTGCTTCCAAGTCTTTGCTATTGTGAATAGTGCTGCAATAAACATACGTGTGCATGTGTCTTTATAGCAGCATGATTTATAGTCCTTTGGGTATATACCCAGTAATGGGATGGCTGGGTCAAATGGTATTTCTAGTTCTAGATCCCTGAGGAATCGCCACACTGACTTCCACAAGGGTTGAACTAGTTTACAGTCCCACCAACAGTGTAAAAGTGTTCCTATTACTCCACATCCTCTCCAGCACCTGTTGTTTCCTGACTTTTTAATGATCGCCATTCTAACTGGTGTGAGATGGTATCTCATTGTGGTTTTGATTTGCATTTCTCTGATGGCCAGTGATGGTAAGCATGTTTTCATGTGTTTTTTGGCTGCATAAATGTCTTCTTTTGAGAAGTGTCTGTTCATGTCCTTCGCCCACTTTTTGATGGGGTTGTTTTTTTTTTCTTGTAAATTTGTTTGAGTTCATTGTAGATTCTGAATATTAGCCCTTTGTCCGATGAGTAGGTTGCGAAAATTTTCTTCCATTTTGTAGGTTGCCTGTTCACTCTGATGGTAGTTTCTTTTGCTGTGCAGAAGCTCTTTAGTTTAATTAATCCCATTTGTCAATTTTGGCTTTTGTTGCCATTGCTTTTGGTGTTTTAGACATGAAGTCCTTGCCCATAAATGAGGTATTGAAGTGTCCAACTACTACTATAAAACTGCGGGGTTATCCTTTTGATCTTGTTAATTTTTTCAGCTTTACTGAGGTTTAATAGAGAAATAAAAATTGCACATATTCAAGGTGGACAGTGTGATATGTTTATATATGCACATTCTGAAATGATTACCAAAATGAAGTCAATTAACATGTTAATTACCTCACATAATAGTTACCTTTTCGTGTGCATGCATGGGATAAGAAAACTTAACTCCATCCCCAGTGACTGCAGAGTGGCCATTCCAGCTGCTCCAGGCTCCGGCAGAGGAAGAGCGGGGCGGGTGGCACCACCAGGGGGGCCCACAGGCCTGGCGCGCACGCGTTCTGGAGCCCACCCAGACCATGCTCCGCCGCCTGGGCGCCCAAGCTGCAGTCGCCCTCTGTGTGCAGGCAACAACTGCCTGGTAACTCCCGAGCCTGCTCGCGCTCCCAGCATCGCAGAACCAGGGCCAGGTGTCCCGAGGGCTGCGGCCAAGCCAGGCATTCTGCCCGGCGGCGGCTGCACAGGGGCGAGAACTGAGAACCAGCCGCTCAACCCCATCGGGGTGAATGCCGAGTGCCCATGCCAGCGGCCTCGAACTCCCTGCGGTGGAGGAGTGGGGCGGGAGGTACGTCCTGGGGACCCTCAGTTGGGCGCGCTGGCGATCCCGGGGCCGCCCAGGCCATGCCCCTCCAGCCCGCCTGGGCACCCAAGCTGCAGCCGCCTTCTGTGTGCAGGCAGCAGCCTCCAGGCAACCCCCGAGCCCGCCCGCACTCCCAACATCTCAGAACCGGAGCCAGATGTACCAGTGGCTGCGGCCGAGCCAGGCAGTCGGCCCTGGGGCGGCTGCACAGGGGCGGGAACCCGCCCTCAGCCCCATTCCCGGTGGCTGCAGAGGGCCCCTGGCTAGCGGTCCGGAGCTCCGGCAGAGGAGGAGCCGAGCGGGGGCAGGGCCTGGCAGGCTCTCAGGCCAGGTGCACTCGCGATCCAGAGGCCGCCCAGGCCATGCTCCGCCGCCTGAGGGCCCAAGCTCCAGGCGCCCTCTGCCTGCTCGCAGCAGCCGCCTGGCAGCTCCCAAGCTCGCTGGAGCTCCCAGCCTCGCAGAACCGGAGCCAGATGCCGCGGCTGCAGCCAAGCCAGGCGGTCTGCCCGGCGGCGGCTGCACCGGGGCGGGAACTGCCCCACAGCCCCATCCCTGGTGGCTGCGGAGGGCCCCTGCCAGCGGCCCCGATCTCTCTTCGGAGGAGGAGCGGGGCGGGGGTCACGGCCAGGCGGGCCCTCAGGCCGGGCGGGTTGCGCGCCTGCGACTACGGGACGTCCCGGGCGAGCCCAGGAGAACCCGCAAGCCAGCGGCGCCTGCGCCCGAGCCGCAGCCGCCCCCTGCCGGCAGCGCGGGCTTGGGAGCGGCTTCCGGAGTCCGCGCGGGCGCTGAGCTGCAGGCGCGCGCCTAACGGCTTCGCGGGCTGAGAGGTCAGAGGCTGCGAGTGTCGCTGCTGAAGGCTGTGGTGGACCCGGCCGGGTCGCGGATTCTGAGCTACATCTCGGGTTTGGGGTTAGGGTTAGTGGAAAGGCCACGAGGAGCCGCGGGGGCTCAGGAGCCGGTGGTGGGCGTCTGAGGAGAAGTCGCCCCATGAGGAAGCTCTTCAGCTTCGGGAGACGCCCGGGCCGGGCGGTCCTGGGCTCCATCGACCACGAGTACCCGGGTCCCGCGTACCACACCAGGGACGCGGAACTGCGGAAGATCCACAGGGCGGCCCTCAAGGGCGACGCCGCGGAGGTGGAGCGCCGCCTGGCGCGCAGGTGCCGGGACGTGGATGCCCAGGACAGGTAGCGGGGGCTCAGCCGGGGTGGGAGGGGGTCCCCAGGCCCGGCTTCCCCGCAGCCCCGCAGCCCCTGGGACGGGGGCCTTGGAGGGCGCTGGGCACCCTCAGAGCGGCGGAGCCAAACGGAGCCTCAGCTGCGTTCCATCGCTGGCAATTCCCCGCCTGGAGCACTTGGTGGAGAAGTTGAGTGATTCAACTCACAAAGTTAAGCATATACTCGTTTAAAACGTGGGGTCATGGAGGTGCTTAATGAGAACTCATTCCCATGTCAAAAATACCATGAGTCATGTTCAGTAGGCGGAAAGTTCTCAGATAAAAGCCTGTGTCGGTTTTACATCCGAATCCACCCAGGTAGACAGGTTCTTTACTGGAGCTTCTTAGAGGGACACTTGGAAGTGGGAGGCGGGTTCCTTGAATGGGAAGACTCGGTTTTCTCAAAACATGAGCTCTTTCCATGTTTATCAGTTTTACATAAACCGAATGAAAATATCAAGGATTTATCATTTTTGCACGACATCTGCTGTCTTAATATTGTGATGACATTTAAAAATTTTTATAATGGAGTGAAAAAAAGACTTGCTCCTCTAGATATCAAAATGTGCTATTAATTCCCACAATTATTTACTATCAGCTGAAAAGACATAAATACATGGAACAGAATGGAAACCCAGAAACACTGAAATATATGTAAGATATAGATGTAAGGACTGATAATGGTAACATTTCAGATGAGTAGGAAGGGTTGAGTTGTTAATAAAATGCCTGCTCTTTGAAGAAAACTAATGAAATTTTATGTCACAAAAATGAGTTCCTGATGGAATACAGATTGAATTTTTTACATATGCAAAATGAGAAAAGTACCAGAAGAAAACACAAATGCTTATTTATACAGGTACATTTTACATTGCCAAAGGCCTTCCTAAGAATGACCTCACAAGCAGGCATTCTGAAGGTTGATTTAGCAAACTAAAAATTAAAACCCCCAGGCCAGGCGCAGTAGCTCACGCCTGTAATCCCAGCACTTTGAGAGGCTGAGGTGGGCGGATCATGAGGTCAGGAGATCGAGACCATCCTGGCTAACACAGTGAAACCCCATCTCTACTAAAAATACAAAAAATGAACCTGGCATGGTGGCACGCGCCTGTAGTCCCAGCTAGTCGGGAGGCTGAGGCAGGAGAATCACTTGAACCTGGGAGGTGGAGGTTGCAGTGAGCCGAGATCGCGCCACTGCACTTCAGCCTGGGTGACAGAGCGAGACTCTGTCTCAAAAAAAAAAAAAAAAATTAAAACCCCCCTGTGTATAAGAAAAAAATTAACAAACGATAACATACTTGAAAAATATTTACTATGTATATGTTTTTACTAATATATATATAAATAGATATTCAGATGAAAAGTGTATCTTCATCCTACAGGGAATTTACTTTTTATTATATATATTATGATATATAACTGATTATACATATAAAAAATTGTATATAATAGTGACATAATGTTATATATATCAGTTATTTATATACAGATAAAAAGCACATCTTTATTTTATAGGGAATTCTTTCAAATCAAATCCACAAGAAAAGAACTCTAAAAGTGAGCAACGTACTTTTCTGCAGATCCACAAGTTACTTATGTACATAGGAAAAAGTCCTTAGTGTTTCTCGTAAAAGAATTTAAGTTAAAAGAGGAATGAGACTCTTTTCTATCCACAATGTTTGTGAGAATAAACAGCAGTGGTACTTACACTGCTGCCTAAAGTTTAAGTTGCTGATGACTTTTCAAATAGATAATTTGGTGGTAATTACCACATTTTAAAAATGTATATGCCATTTACCTATCAATTCCATTGTATTAAAATACCTTTAGAAAATAGAGATACGTGTACTTTGTTTTTCTCAGCATTTATGTTAAAAAGAACCCTCAGAATGTGTCCTATAAATAAGTTTCAGTTGCATCCATAGGATGGAATAATATGTGACCATTGAAAGTGACAATAGATATAGAAGTATGGGAGGTTCCCTTGATGCCAGGAGTTTGAGACCAGCCTGGGCAACAAAGCAAGATTCCTTCTACAGGTTTTTTTTATAATTAGCTGAGCATGCTGGTGTACTCTTGTGGTCCCAGCTACTCAGGAGGCTGAGGCAGGAGGATCACTTGAGCCTAGGAGTTCCAGGCTGCAGTGAGGAAATATATGAAATATATGTAATATACCATTAATATATGAAATATATGTAATACACCATTAATATATGAAATATATGTAATACACCATTAATATATGAAATATATGTAATACACCATTAATATATGAAGTATATGTAATACACCATTAATATATGAAGTATATGTAATACACCATTAACATATGAAATATATGTAATACACCATTAATATATGAAATATATGTAATACACCATTAATATATGAAGTATATGTAATACACCATTAATATATGAAATATATGTAATACACCATTAATATATGAAATATATGTAATACACCATTAATATATGAAATATATGTAATACACCATTAATATATGAAATATATGTAATACACCATTACACTCCAGCCTGGGCAACAGAGCAAGACCCTGTCTCAAAAAAAAAAAAACCAACAATCTAACAATTATTGAGTTGTTGCTTGTTCTAGAAATGGTTCTAAATACTTTACATAGATTCCCATTTAAGCATCACAATGGTGTCCTGTGAACTAGCTGCTATTGTCATCTTTATTTTATTAATGAGGAAAATGAGGCACAGAAAGGCTAAGCAATACCTGGTACGTGGCTGAGTTCAAAGTAGAACTCAAGCCCCAGCTGAACTGAATCCAAACACCAAGCTCATTCTGTCCAAATAGGCTGCTGTTTCATTAAGGGAGTGAGCAGTAAGAGCTAATAAATGTACTTTCTTCAAAAGAAAATTATTTGTTTTGAAGGCAGAGGAATGCTCTTCAATGTTTACAATGACATGAACCATTGTAGGTTTTGAGATACTGCACTACAATTTCCTGAAAACCCCTCTCACTCTCCTAGGACTGTTCTACATTTGGCCTGTGCCCACGGCCGTGTGCAAGTGGTCACTCTCTTGCTGAGCAGAAAATGTCAGATCGACATCTGTGACAGACTAAACAGGACGCCTTTAATGAAGGTATACAGCAGCCAACTCTCTCAGCACGAAAAAGATTTCACTAAATACATAGAATTAAAATGAATGTATCTCATTTAAATATAACTAGTTGGTGAAACCTGTGGAATATGTATTTTGAATTCTTAGAATTTATAGTCTAAGTTTTCATCTAACACTGACAGGCTGTATATTGCCAGGAAGAGACGTGTTCCATTATTCTGCTGGAACATGGCACCAGTCCAAACATTAAGGACGTCTACAGCAACACTGCTCTTCATGATGGTAAACATTGAGGATGTCTACGGCAACACTGCTCTTCATGATGCTGTCTATGATAAGGGGACTTCACTGGCAGGAAGCCTGCTTTCCCACCATGCAAATACTGAAGCACTAAACAAGGTATAGATCAATCAACTTTCTTTTCAAAATATTTGTTTTAACATTGACATAGGTAAGAGTCAATTTTTCATATTTGGATGATCAGGCATTCCTGAATGAAAATATTTTGAAATAGCTTAATTGTCTCAGGTTTTACTTTAAATATTGATACTTTTAAAGAAGCATTAGAGGGCACAGCTTGTTTAGTGCACTTATGGGAAGTATTTGTGAATTTGTTAAGGTAAAACTTCTTCAAGTATTTGTTTCCTACCCCAGGTGTATTTTTTTTTCTAATTACGTAAAACACACACACACACACACACACACACACACACACACACACACACACACGCAGACACAGGAAAAGAATTTACCCTGGAAATAGGCTTTATCTTAAAACTCAAAACAAAACTGAAGCAACTTGCAATAAATGGAAATCTTGCTGCTGCTGACAGTTTTCTCAAAAAAAAAAAAAAACTGATGTGCCTTTCAGTGGCAAAGTTTAAGAGGGAAAAATGGGGAAGGAAAAGGAGAGCAATCAAAAACATGTAGGTCACTTGGAAATTAGGTAATGAGGAAAAATGCTAATAAGAGGTTTTGTTTTTTAGTTTGTTGTTTTTCCAGTTTATGTATTGAGACAAAGTGCTCTTCAGCTTTGGGGTAATTATTTTTGGTTTGGTAAACAAAGTGATTGAAACTTGCTTAAAGATTAATTTTTAGAGGACTCTGAGGAAACCAGATTGGCTGTGAATAGCTGGTGATGCAGTGAGAAACACTTCAGCAAATGATCGAACGAATTAGTGACTGACTTATTACCCATCCTGGCAAAAACAGCCACTTAGCCAAGAGTCCAAACTCTCCTCTCAAATCTAGAATGTCTTGGTGGGAAGGTAGGAGATAAGGAGCTTATAAATAGCAAAATCAAGTGGGATTTCGAGTTTACTTGTCCCTGTTCTACCCATAGCCAGGAAAATTAACTGGAGTGTTAATAAATAACTCTATCTCATACTCTTTTCTCTTTTTGGCCACATCCCAAGCTGATAAAGGATATTGGTGGTGTGGGTGAGTGATGAAAGTGAAGTGATTGTAGTAATTCTCAGCAGTAGTAATTCTCTGCAGTAATTCTCAGCTAGAATTGTGCATTACAGTGACCTGGGGGAATTTTGTTAAAAGTGTACAAATGTAGGCTTTCCCCTGAAGATTTTGATGTAACTGAGCTAATAAGGTCTGAACAGGTATGGTTAAAAATATTTTCTTGAAGCCGCACACAGTGGTTTGTTTCTGTAGTCCCAGCTACTCAGGAGGCTGAGGTGGGAGGATTGTTTGAGCCTAGGAGTTTGAGTCCAGCCTGAGAAACATAGTAAGACTCTTGTCTCTTACAACAACAACAGAAAAAAAAAACACCTCAGGGTTTGAATACACTCCTGATTGAGAACCACAGAGTAGGTAAGTGCAGTATATAAATTCCCGTATCTCAAAAACATAAGAAATCTCTAAAAGAGTTGGCATTTGATAGGTGCTACTTTCTTCAAAGTTCTCCTTTCCAATAATGTTAGCCTGACTTATCTTTCTCTACATTTGTGACTGGAAAGTAAAAGGAAATATTGCTGGCAATATATCTCAGCTTACAGAAACACACCTTTTCCTTCCCACCAGGAATCATTCACTGCCATTCAGAGAGCCTTTAGCAATTTGCTTGTGGGTAATCTTTCAATAGGTAAAGCCTGACCCTTTCACAATTTCATGTTCCTTTGTCACCATTCAAGTGATTATGTGTCAACAAATGTTCATTACAAGTGAAATTTTCTCAATTAGATTAGTAGCAAATCCTGAACCGTTTTTTTTTTTTCAGTTGAAATTGTATTATGGACTATGTCAGTATGTCTGTTAAGTTTATAGAGCTTTGGCACAATCAGGATGTCAGTTTTAAACACTGAAATCCATGAAGTCGGTGAGAATACTATAGGAATTCTTTTAATAAGTTAGTTTCGGCAGTCTTATGATCTAATTATCTATTTGGTTAACAATCTGGGAAAATAATATACAAACAGATTTCAAATGAATAAATTTTGGGAAAATTCTTCAGGTGGGTATTATGAGTCTTAACAGCAATTTTTATTATATATATATCAGGGGCTGATTTTTATATAAAACACATGATACTAGAGACAGAAAAAGTTTCACATGCAAATACTTGGTTTATACAAAATCATTTAGTACACATTCATGGAAACTATAAATACACAAGGGCTATAGTCTAACTGTGGCACATAGATTTGTTCATTTGCCTCTTTAAGTTGAGTTAGCATGTGAAATTTAGTAGACTCATGCAGAAATCTGGACCTCAGGCCTGTCTTAAGAATCAAATCTGGTGTCCCCGGAACCGCATCACTGCTTGGTCTGCTGTGCAGAGGTTGCCCTGTGTAGGAGGCACAGATTCTCCAGTTGGCTTCTGTGCCCACCTGAGTACTTCACTTACTTAGGTCATCTCCTCATCCTTATAAGTATTTGAGTTTACAACTCCTGTTTTATAGTATATTTTCATAAAGATTTCAAGATTTTCAAGACAGTGTATATTGGTTTATAATATATAGTCTATAGTTTATAAATCCCTCAATTATGGGGTTCAAGTTTAGAATTCAAAAGTTTTTTTTAGCTCTTTTTTATATGTATACCACAAGTAGTCATCTGCTCATAAGAATGCCTGGAAGCCTTTTTAGGTTATTCCTGGTGAGAGTTGGCTAGTTTATGAATATTGCAAACATTATGTCATGCTTCTCAACAATGTCCCTTAAAAATGCAAGTGACTTATTGGCTTTTATTATGCTAGAAATAAGCCATATACATCAATATTAAAACTTTTATTGATAAGCCATTGTAATTTTATTTCTGATTTACATTTTGCCTAAAGTAAAAAAAAAATGTTAAATAGCAATTTGAATGGAAACCAATACAAATGGATTTAAAAAGTAAAGTTGCATTAGCATCCCAGGGTTATCATTATAATTGAGAATAAAATTTCTTACTGAGCTTTGCTTTTTTAATATTTATTTTCAAACACTTTTAACCTGTCTCTCTTACACAGAATATACTGAGCTTTCTAACAGTTAAGATAAAAATCTATCCTCTTGTATTAGGAGAAATCCCATGGACTATTTAATAATAATGAAAATAAGTGCATTGAAGCCAGTCTCTCTTAATTCAGAGCTCATTTCCTTAGTGACCCATTCGGATCAGGAGTGCCTGACATTGACATTGGATCCTGACACCATTTACAGAAGTAAATCAAGCAAGTTTGTACCACCCAGAGGAAACCTCCACCTGAACTGGGAAGTTCTGGCAACTGTATCCCTGAAACTCTAGTTCCTAAAATGTTAACGTTTGCCACAAAAAGTATTGTCAAATTGGAATTAGGCAAAGTTGAAGGGATTTCTTGATTGTTGACCATATAATACAGTTTTGTAATACTTCTCAAATGCAGGTGATCATGGCATCTTTCTGTTGGGGTACAGTTCTTCTGGTAAAACAAATATTCCTTGGAAGATAGTTTAAGAAACACTGCTCTAAAGATAATAATTTTCATCATTAATTTATTTTAAAAACCTAAAGCATTTGCTACTATGTATTAGGTTTTAGGGTTGTAGAGAAAAAGGACACAGCCCTTGCCCTCAAGAAACTCTTGGTTTCAGTGGGAAACAGTGAAATAATTACAACATATTGTGCTAAATGCTGTGATAGAAGCAAGGATTTTCAGGACTGGTAAATAAAGTCAGTTTTGGAGATGATCAAAGTTAACGTGGGGAGGGAGAGGAGGGGTGTTTGCAAGGCAGTGTGTGGGAAAGCACAGAGGAGTGAAAAGGAAGGGACTGCTCCGCATTTACTTGCTATATTGTAAGTTTAAGTTCATAGCATCATATAGGAGATTTTTAGTTCAATTGAGAAATATGTAATTTTGTGAATTGCACATTGTTTTTGCTTTCTTACAGGAGGGAAATACACCACTTTTGCTTGCTGTAATTTGTAAGAGACAGTAAATGGTGGCATTTTTAGTGAAGAACCAGGCAAGTGCACCTGCTGTTGGTGATTAGTCCATTGTTTAGCCAGAAATCACACAGAAAGCTAGACTAGTTAGAAGTAGCAATGAGTGCAAGATTCTTTCAGGACTTTTAAAGACCTTTATCCCCAGGGATCTCAGTGTTCATTTTATTCCAAGTATAACCTTATATATAACCTTATATGTGAGATATAAATAACGTCACATTTTTACTTGTTTTTCTTTCTTTCTTTCTTTCTTTTTTTTTTAGACAAGGTCTCACTATGTTGCCCACATTCCTGAGCTCAACTGATTCTCCTGCCTCAGCCTCCCAAACTGCTAGACACCATGCCTGGCCTGACTTTTCTAATTAGTTATTGGGTCTTGAAATGTCCAGTTTAGCAGAAAGTCTTGGATTGTCCCCTGGGGCTATCTCCTATGCCTTCATCCTTTGAATTTTTCAAAAAGCTAAGGGGTTCCCTAAGTCCAAGGAAGACAATCTTGCTTTACAAGTCAGAAGATAGGGGGAAAAGGCCATTCTAAATATTCTGTTTCCATTGATTCACTTGTATTGCTGCCATTGTAACTGGTCCTGCGATCTGGTAATGACTAACCTTTGCCACCAGGATGCCTTTACTGATTCAGACCTCTCACTCTTTGTGGTGACTCACACACAGAGTTCACAGCTACAGTGATGCCTTTACTGATTCAGACCCTTCAGTCTTTGTGGTGACTCACACACAAAGCTCACAGCTACAGTGTTTTTTAGTTCATGTACATATGCTCAGCCGTTGTTCCCAGCACACTGCTCTGGCAGCGAGGCCTCCTGGCTTTACCCACACACATAGTGAGTAAATTGACCCTCCCCTAACACTAAAAACCTTATTTGTTGCCCACCTCTTAGCTAGGCTTAGCCTAGACCTTGATGGTAAGTTATCCTTTGAGACCTGTATTCATCTTTTCTCTAGCAAATGTTAGTTGGGATTGTCTTCAGCAGTCAGGGACATTCAAATAATGTGGCAGGAAGAGATCAGAGGTCCCTTTCCCTTTTGTTATCACGTCTGTACCTTGAGGCTTTTTTCTGTCCTGTGTAGCAGCTTTTGTTAGATAGCAGAAGGTTCCACATTATCCTGCAATAGAGTAGTGGGCACCAACTTGCAGTTGGCCCCTCAAGTAACATGTTTCCATAACAACGAAAATCTCTCAGGCTACTTGCATCTCTACCCCAAGTTTTTAAAATATTTAAAAATTCTACCTCACAGGAAGTCATTCAATAGAATTATCGTATATAAACTAGGTAATTTGGATTTAACAGAGCTAAGCCTCATCCATGACTCATGAGTATCCATGTATAAAACAGGGCTTTATGCTTGTTTCAGCAGCGTATATTCTAAGATTGGATCAACACAGAGCAGATAAGCATGGCTGCTGCCTAAGGATGGCACACAAATTCAGCAAGCATTCCACATTTTGCACAGTCCCCAGAAGGTCATTTGACTATTTGTTAACTAGCTCCAAGGAAACAGTGCAAGTCAGACCAAAACAGGAGACATCCAATATTGAAATTGTTGTTACTGTTATTATAAAAGTATTCACGTAAGGTGATCTGTGAAATGAGAACAGCGCTGAGTAACATATGGGATGTTACATGCAAACATGTTGTTAGTCCATGACTTGGAAATGAGGAAACGTCAACTTGCATCTCTTTCATGGAACCGAAAAACAAGACAAGCAGGTTTTGTCTTGTATGTCAGTTGGAGAGGACCAAGAAGACGCAGCCTCTAACACAGACCTGCTGGCTCTGAGTTTGAGGAGGTAGAGAAGGAATGGTAGTTGTCCAAGCCAGGTTTTGATATTTATTAGTTTTCTGCCCTTGGTGTGATTGATGAGCTCAGTAATAGGGAACAATTAGGTAATCTATTTTAATGAGATAATAATATATTTATATATAAATTTAGTTACAAGTTATGAATTAGCTAAAATGCTCTGAACTACAAGCCACAATGAATAGAACTAATAACCAAAATTAGCACTTAATAACATTTTCTGAAAACTGTGACATTCAAATATTAGAACCTATGAAAAAACACCCATCAGGTTTTGAGATTCCAAAATTGTTTCAGCAATACAGTTCAAGAATAAATTATTCCATTGCTTTACTATTTCTCTGAATATTTAAACATGTTATCTCATTACATCCTCCTAACAGCCTAGTGAAGTAAGGTAGTAAAATCCTTATTTTTTAGAAAAAGCCATGGAGCCTAAGAGAAGCAACTGGTCTGAAAACAAAATACCTATTGGTTACAAAGTGAGGACTTATTCTGAGTGCAGGACACTTTCCAGGATGTTAAGCTAACTAGAATTAATTTACTGAGCTATGCTTCTCTCAGTTTATGAGTACTTCATGTTTTTCTTCTTTAATTAGAAGCTTAGTAAGTTTATAGAGCTTAAAATTTTAAAGTGTATAGGACATTAGAGTTCTGATATTAGCTCTGATATTGTCTGAAATGCTTTAAGAATTTAACATAGTTGGTAAATATTTTTCATGTCACTATTAAAATAGTAATTTTATTTATTACATTTATTATGCATAGCATTCAACAACAAATTTTGGAACCTAAAAATAAGTACTTTAAAATCATCTTCAAAATGACAATTAAGGTAGGACTTCTTTTAGTAAATTTCTCATTTCTCTTGGTGGTCTTATTGATTTTAAAAAGTAAGATTACAGGCCAGGCATGATGGGTCATGCCTGTAATCCCAGCACTTTGGGAGGCCAAGGCAGGTGGATCACCTGAGGTCAGGAGTTTGAGACCAGCCTGGCTAACATGGCAAAACCCATCTCTACTAAAAATACAAAAATTAGCTGGGCATGGTGGCAGGCACCTGTAATCCCAGCTACTCAGGAGGCTGAGGCAGGAGAATCACTTGAACCCAGGAGGTGGAGGTTGCAGTGAGCTGAGATCACACCACTGCACTCCAGCCTGGATAAAAAAACAAGACTCTATCTCCGAAAAAAAAAAAAAGTAAGATTACATAGTTTTAATCATAAAAGAGCAGTTTAAAATATATATGTATATACATTTTTTAAATTTAATTTATTTAGTTTAGAATTCAGAGTTAAGAAGTTAGTTGTAGCTAATTCATAATCTCACAGTATTGTCTGAAAACAATGCATTTACCTACTTATGTTCCCTGAAATTCGACGTGATATTTTTGTATTAATATAAATAAGAAATTAGATTTTTAAGTTAGTATGTTGTATTTTCCTCTATAATCACATTATTACAAATTGGACTTTTGATGCAAATGGATCTTCTATTTAATTTTTATAATAAATGGTTTGTATTTAGTAAATAAATATTAATTATAGTTGATTCTTGAATAATGTGGCAGTTAGGGGCTCTGATCCCTGTGCAGTTGAAAATCTGAGTATAACTTTGACTCCTTCTAAACTTAACTAATAGCCTACCATTGACTGGAAGCCTTGCTGATAACACAAGCAGTCCATGAACGCATATTTGGTATGTGCTGCATTGTTATATACTATGTTTGTACAATAAAGTAAGCTAGAGAAATGAAGCTGTTATAAAGAAAGTCATAGAAAAGAAAAAAACGTACTTACTATTCATAAGGCAGAAGTGAGTCTTCCCAAAGGTCTTCATCTTCATCATCTTCAGGTTGATTAGGCTGAGGAAGAAGAAAAAAGGTTGGTTTTGCTGTCTCTGGGTTGCAGAGGCAGAAGAAAAATCTACATATAAGTGGGCCCCTGCAGTTCAAACTCTTGTTGTTCAAGAGTCAACTGTATTACACAGGAATTTGTGTCACTAAGAAAGTAACTATCTTTAGAACTGGGAACTCAAAAATCCCTTTCTGATACCATAAACAAATGGCAATAAGGACCATAAAACTGAGCCAGTGTGCACCCATACAAATAGGAGATTATTTTTGAAGATACCTATTGAATGCAGAAGATGGGAAAGTAATTCCTTTACAAGAAGCAGAAGTTATGTTACATATTCTTCTACAAACAAGGTCTATTTTTTTCCTCATTCTCCATAGGTTGGAACCTCATGAGATATATTCACTTCTTAGAACAAGCTGTTTTTAAAAATGTGCTGGACAATTATCATAATAATATTAATTTTGTTAGAACAAGAGACTCTGTTACCAGGCTGGGTATGGTGGCTCATGCCTGTAATCCCAGCACTTTGGGAGGCTGAGGCAGGTATATCACTTGAGGTCAGGAGTTTGAGACCAGCCTAACCAACATGGTGAAACTCCATCTCTACTAAAAATACAAAAATTAGCCAGGCATGAGGGCAGGCACCTGTAATCCCAACTACTTGGGAGGCTAAGCCAAGAGAATTGCTTGAACCCAGGAGGTGGAGATTGCAGTGAGCTAAGATTGTGCCACTGCACTCCAGCCTGGGTGACAGAGCAAGACTCAAGACTCCATCTCAAAAAAAAAAAAATGCTCTGTTACCATTAGGCAAAAGATGATCTTAATAAATATTCCATTAGCCAAACTCTAGGCTCAAAAAATTATAATAAAATTATAAAAATGGTTCACAGTACCGGGAGGCGGAGCTTGCAGTGAGCCGAGATCCCGTCACTGCACTCCAGCCTGGGCGACAGAGCGAGACTCCGTCTCAAAAAAAAAAAAAAAAAAAAAATGGTTCACAGTAACAAAAATATAACGCCTAATGCATTGTACAATCTAAACTGTATAAAGGCACCATTAATTTAGTACATATTTATCAAACTACTTCTATAAGTTAGGTTTGGCAAATTGCAGCAGACAAAGATGGAATTGAATAGTTTTTGTCTTTAAGGTGCTCATAATAGAATACAGATAACTATTTAATTTTTGTGTTTTTTAACCAGAATTTTTAAGAAAAAATATTTTAATTCATTCATACATTTTTCCACTTAAAAAATAACTATCATGTGTCTTTAGTGGACTAAGCATTTTTCCAATGTTACAAAATACATTTTAAAAATACACTTAGGAGATTGTGAATACCATTGTCATTTATTTTATTTACTACATTATGTAGTGCTTACTGTGTGTCCAATGTCATCTGGGAGCTTATTGTTATAATTTATTATGTATGCGTTATGTTCAGTATGTGCCAGGCACTTTTACATTTGTGGTGATGAATGCAAGCTTCTAAAATCTGGGTCAGATTTAGGGTAAGCATGCAGAGTGAGTGGAACTTTGCCAATAAGGAGGCAGAGGGATGATGCTTGGCAGAAGGAATATCTAACAAGTTGCATGTTTGACAGAAGCAGCAGCCATGAAGAACGAAAGTTTTAGAAAAGGAGGAGCAATTTCAAAATGTAAGACACCTGAGTGAGCTTTGTAGCGTTTGTGAGCAGTTCAAATTTACTAGTGCAAAAAAAGTGTATAGGAGTGGTTGGCAATGAGGTGGAAATAGTTTACAGTTATTATTTATTATGTTCAGTATGTGCCAGTGAAGGCAAGCTTAGCAAAGACTTTGTTGTTGTTGTTGTTTGACCTGTGTCTAGAAACAAGTTTAATAAAAGACTTTTAATAGTATAGAAATGAGTAGATCTTATCCTGTAGGCCAGGGGAAACTTCTCAGGTAGAATGCTTTTGGCTGTAAATACTAGAAGACCTAACTAACCGTGGCCAAAACCATAAGAACCAGACTTGTTTTGATTGTCCAGTGATATAATTGGGTCCCACTTGTTCCTCTTTCAGCTACAATGTTGGCAGTATCTTGTTCATTTCCCCTTTCATGGTTGGCTACTTAGCAACAGCTCCAAACATCGTGTTCTCACAAGGGCTGCTTTTCTTCACATGTGTCTATTAAATTGGGAGAAAACCCAGAAGTATGCAGGGGACTTTTTGTAATTTTTTTTTTTTTTTTTTTTTTTTTTTTTTTTTTGGAGACAGAGTCTCGCTCTGTCACCAGGCTGGAGTGCAATGGCATGATCTTGGCCCACTGCACCCTCCACCTCCGAGGTTCAAGCGATTCTCCTGGCTCAACCTCCCAAGTAGCTGGGACTACAGGTGCGTGCCACCACACCCAGCTAATTTTTGTATTTTTAGTAGAGATGGGGTTTCACCATGTTGACCAGGATGGTCTTGAGCTCTTGATGTTGTGATCTGCCCACCTCAGCCTCCCAAAGTGCTGGGATTACAGGCATGAGCCACCGTGCCTGGCCCTTTTTGTAATATTTTATTGGCTGGGTCACACCACATGCTCATTCCTAAACCAGGCACTGGGAAAGCAAATGTGATTAGCTTAGAATAATCATTTCTCTTTTAAAGCTGGGGAGGGGTATTGGGATAATAAATATCCAAATAGATTTGTGTTTCTCCAGCAAGAAACAATAAGGAACTGCTCTTGGATAGGGAGCCAGCAGTGTTTGGTCTAGAAATTCATTGGAAAATCGTGAGCCGGGGAGGCATTAGATTAGATTTGAGAATTAGGGCATTCTGTTCAGGGATTGGCATGCTTTTTCTGTAAAGGGCCAAGTAGGAAATATTTTAGACCATGTGGTCTCTCTCTGTCTCTTTTCAAGAAAGATTTAAGCAGCTGAAGGCCATGTGGTCTCTGTTGTAGCTACTCAACCCTGCCATTGTGTGTGAAAGCAGTCACAGGTAGCATGTCAGTGAGTAGGCCCAACTGTACTCTCATAAAACTTTATTGAGAAAAAACATATGGTAGGCAGGATTTGGCCTGTGGTCTGCAGTGTGCTGACCCCTTATGTAGAGGATTGATGGAGGATAGATGTCACCTGGGAGCGTGTAGTTATTATTTACTAGGTATTTATTATGTTCGTGAGATGCCATCCACCTTTAAATTTGTGGTGATGAGCACAAGCTTCTGAAACATGGATGGGATTTAGGGTAAGCATGCAGAGCGAGTGAAACTTTGCCATGTAAGGAGGCAGAGGGGTGATGTTTTGCAGAAGGAATATCTAACAACTTGCACGTTTGACAGAAACAACAGCTATGAAGCCTGCAAATTTGTAAAAAGGAGAAGAAGGTGCAAAAGGTAAGACACTTATGTGTCTCTACTCTTAACCATGTAAAGCGACTGGGAGACAAGGGAAGCTTCAGCCATAATTAATGCTATAGTTGCCTTGTCACAAATCCATGGAGTACATATGTCTTATTACAAGGTTTTCACCCATCCATGATAAAATAAAATGATGGAGCTCCAGTTTATTCATTTGAAAATATTGGTGTTGCCGGGAATGGTGGCTCCTGCCTGTAATCCCAGCAGTGTTAGAGGCTGAGACAGAAGGATCCCTTGAGGCCAGGAGGTCCAGCAGCCTGGGCAACATAGCGAGACCCCATGTCAATTTTTTTTTTAATGTTGCTGGGTGTGGTGTTCTGCACCTGTAATCCCAGCTACTTGGGAGGCTGAAGCAGGAGAACTGCTTGAGCCTCGAAGTTTGAGGCTGCAGTTAGCTATGATAGCAACATTACACTGTAGCCTGGGTGGCAGAGTAAGACCCCATCTCTGATAAAAAATAAAATCAAATAAGATAAGATAAAATAAAATGTTGGTCTTTTTCTTGGAATTATGCTTTTTAAATTTATTTTGCTTTTAAAAAAAATTTAAGAAATGACAATAATAGTTGGTTTATATAAGGCTTTCAGAAACTGGCTTCTGCCCAAATCTCCATCTGCAGCCCCTTCTCTGTCTGCTCTTTTTTCTGGCATTACTGAGCTGCTGGTAATGCCCCCATCACCATCCCTCTCATGTAGAAAAATATACTCTGGGAAGCTTCTCTCCCTCTCTTGCCGCTGCCTGGCATGTGCTACCTTTCCTGCCCTCTGCCTCCTTTAATCTGGTAAGCCTCTCTGTCTAAGTCTCAGCTCAGGCATGGTCTCTAGAAAAGCCATCCCCGATGGCTTTTATTCCCGTTATTGAAACCCCAGTGCCTACCACTTAGCAGGAACTCCATGAATATCTAGTAAAATCAAGACTGTTTATACGAAGATGATTGCTACAGTCTAGCAGCAAAGGGGATAGACATGCAAAGACATGATGTGCAGTTCAGATGGTGGAGTGACACTAGAAAACTTGACAAAGTACTAAGGGAGCCCCAAGGAAGGAGACGCCTGTGTACGTGGAGAAATACAGCCAGATTCAAGGAGGACTTCACATAGCATTCTGAGTCATTTTTTCTTTTTTCTTTTTCTGTTTTTAGAAACAAGTTCTTACTCTGTCACCCAGGGTGGAGTGCAATGGCATGATCGAGATTCACTGCAAACTCAAACTCCTGGGCTTAAGGGATCCTCTCACCTCAACCTTTTGAGTAGCTGGGACTACAGGCACACACCACCATGCGTGGCAAATTTTCTGTAGAGTCAGGGCTTCACTATGGTCTCCAGGCTGCTCTTAAACTCTTGGCTTGGAGCAGTTCTCCTTCCTGGGCCTTCCAAAGTGCTGAGATTACAGGTGTGAGCTACTGTGCCCAGCCTACATTCAGAGTCTTAAAACACGAAAATAAATTTGTCAGAATAGTAGAGGAAAACATTTCAGATGTAAAAATCAGGATATACACTAATAAAGGTATAATGGTAACAAAATTTTGCAAATTATTAGTAAATAACAACTCACTTAGCATGTTGTTGAAAAGATACTATTATGAAGTAGAGAATAAAGTATTACTTTATATGTTTTTACTATATTTTTAAATTTTACTTTGTTTCCAGCAGTTTTGCTTATTTATTTTGCGTGGAATAATTTGTGGGTGACCCTGAGACTTTTGCATGGCTTGAACCTGCTGATATCTAGTGTCTCCTTAAGTGGTTTGTTGAGGTTTTAGATAATTAGAAGTATTTCTTTAAAATGTAAATATTCCAGTAAACATTAAGCTTCATTTAAACTCTCCATTTATAAAATAAAAGTATATGTTATTTTGTATCCATTTTTATAAAGATTATAGTCTTTATCTAAGTGTTCTAAGTCATTCATTTTAACTAAACATATGGATTTGTCTGCAGAACACGACTTAAAAGTGGCTTCAGAGGAAAAGCAAGAAACGCTTGAAAGAAGTGAAAATAAACAGCCAGAGGTATGTAACAATTTAAATTTCTGGTTTAATATTGGTTGGTTGGTTTTTCTTTAATAACACAGCATAGTCCAAAAGAAGTGACCTTTTAGACTGTCCTTTTAGAATCCAACAGACAGATCATAATTTCTTACTTAATTTTAAAACATTTTAGCCAGTTATAAAATTTAAAATATCCTTACAGTCTGCAGTAACTCATAGCTATCTGTACCCTTGGAATTGAGGCCAGAAATTTCCAGAAGTCTCTTTGCTCTTTTACTTTTATAAGCTTCTTCATGACAAAGAAAGTAACATCAAAAATTGAGTTGTATTACTAAGCAAGAGAAATTATGAACAATTTAACAGTGATGGCCACTGAGTTCAACTCGTGTTAAAGGAGTCATCGTTGCTAGTGGTTCAGACTCTGCAGTTTTATGTTGCTGGTCACCAGTGCTGAGGTTAAAGACTTCTTCTGTTTTTTGGTTTCTGGTTGCCTTCAGTGTCTTTGTTCAGGGAGAGAATGGGGTCATAAAATCAACCCAGCTGCCTATTAAGAGAATTATGACTTCCAGAATGGGACTTTGGTATCAGGGTACAAACAATAACCTTCTTATTTTAGTATAAATAGTAAATGTTATTAAAATCTTTTAATCCATTGTCACTAGTGGGACTTAGAGTATATTAGAACTGGATATAAGTGGATAATCTATCTAGATAACACTCATATTACAGTATAGCATTTGAAGTAGAATCTAAAAATTTTATTCTCTTTCTGATTGGTGTTCATTTTGGCTTCTAATAGTTTAGCATTTGCCTACTCTCCAGTTAATCTTCAGAAATATGAATTTACTGTAGGGGTTCACTATTTATGGTATCCTGAGGTCAAAATCCTTTTAAGAGAGAAAGCCTTTAGAATACTACATATCATCTGTGAGCCCATTTCTGGCAGATTTAATTCATAATGAATTAAGTTTAGTCCAAACTAACAGTGAGAGTTAAGCTTGCTGGTTCATGTTTTTCTCCTATGTTAAGCCAAGGCAAACTATTTTTTACTTCTTAGTTATAATCCAGTAACTTAGGGATAGCAAAACATAGATTAAGTTTTACAGTTACATTTTAATTATTTTCTATTTTTTTATTCATACTTAATTCAGAATAAAGTTAATTTTAAAACATGCACCCTAACAGAAAAGACATCTGAGAAACAAAACAAGCAAATTAATTTTCCACTTTTGCACCTGCAAAAAAATGTCTCAAGAACCAGAACTGAGTAAGAATTGTGATAAAGAGTGTTTATCTGTATATTCAGGGCTTCCTTTAAAATTAATTACAAGAAAGTTCAACTGAAAATTGGTGAAAGTTTTGAAAAATCCAAAATTACTGTTTGTCCTGAGGAAGAGCTCTTACATAGTTACTCTAAAGAGGGACAAAATTAAAGGAAGTGCCCTCTAACCCAATGAATCATGTCCCTGACTGCAAGGAAGCAGATGCATCTTGGAGTGTCGAACTCTGTAGTATCCCAGGCATTGCCTGAACAGGAGGAGAACATCACAAACCTGTCTTTTCATTGTATTTATACTCTGGGTCCCTCAAACACACCTGCCAGTCATCTTCTAAGCTTTATTCAAATGAAAATAAATCAGACTGTAAAACTTGTAACTATCCAGACATGTAGCCTGTTTCTCAGAGATGAAGAGAATTGTTGTAATGATACAGAAATAGAAAAATTAGGGAACCCAGTAGTTATGGTTGAAATGAAAGAGGACCAAGAGTTTGATATGCAAATGACAAAAAAATATAAACCAAAATACCGTTAATTGGAAATTAGACATTAGACATTGGCCTCAGTCTAGAGATCCAAAAAGTCTGTTTGATTTGTGGTTTGTTTACTCTAAAGAAATGAAGCATGTGATACAGATAGAAAGCCACAGTATTTCTGCTGTTACAGACACTTACAAAAACAAAAATCCAGTAAGCACTTGTTCCACAAGCCATATGGAACTTAGAAGCTCTTCTAAAGCTTAGAAGATGACTGGCAAGTATGTTTCAGGGAGCCACATAAGACAGTTCCACTGCTAATAGCTATAAAAGCATGAAACCTGCATGAGAAAATGTGAGTTATTCTCCACCCCATAGTGACAGAACATCAAAAGCATATCTAGAAGAAGACTTACAGCAAGATATGCAAAGGCTTAAGAATGAGGTGGGCATGTTACAAGTAGAGTTCCTGGCTTTGAAGAAAGAAAGCTTAACTATAAAAAGAAAGAGGTTCACTTGCTGCTTCTCTTTTTATAAATTATCTGATTCATTCTGGTTTTCTACTCAAGAAAATCTCATGTGTCTAGTTACAGTGTGGTTATCTAAATGCATAATTATGTGTCTAAGTAGATCAGTGCTGCTATCTAAATGACAGTTCTGGAAAACACTCTCATAATCTTTGTTCATTAGTCAACCTGAGTCTCACTATCAGTCTTCCAAGTGGCACATGGGCTGGGAAAATAATTTAGCCATATGCCATGTGACCTTCTGAATCAGCTAAACATAAAGAAAATTGCTAAAGAAATAAGCTCTAGATTCTTCTTACTGTATTCATTTAAAGATGACTTACATTTATTTAAATGATAAAATGGTAACACGATGGGAGGGAAACAATGACTGAGAAGAGACATGAAAATGTATCTAGCCTGGAGACTTGTAACAAATATTATCAGCCAAAGGCGTCTGTTTAATGTGCTTTCATGCATGCAAGTTTATTTGTCTGACTCAAGCTGTTTAAACTTATAATTCCATAATGGCCATTTTAAATATTTTTGGAAACAAATACATATACTTTTGCATATTTAAAAAAAATCACCACTCTCCAATGTTTCTGTTGAATCACACTTTTACATTATGTTGTTTAATAAAATATGGTAAGTTTTGACATGTATGATTTTATCATGTAAGTAGCATAACTTCTCAGCCAAATATTTATCATTTGACTCTATAGTGGAAAGCTGAGTTCTGTACATTGTGTTCTAAAGATAGACAAAAATCTAGAGATTTTCTTAAAAGCAGATGAGGCCTCCTGCCATCCTCTGAGGCATTAAATTGCTTTGCCAAAGTCACGCTTTTAATTTATTTGACTAATTTGATATATTTATCTGGTAATTTATGTAATGCAGCAATATGTAATTGTATCTTCCCTTTTGGTGCCATGAAGTGCTAGGTAATGCCACCTTAGGAGCTTTGGGTGAATTATTTAATATTTATTGGTTTTACTTCTATTATCAAGTAGATAATGGGGCTAGAGTAGACAACTATTCTGTATATCTTCCAGCTATAAACTTTTGTGGTGATTGAATGTAAACTTGGGGAACATCTCATTTTCTAGGATTCTGCACTAGCAACTCAGCAGTGTCACTCTGCTCCTTGAGTTGTGGTAAACTTTGGTTCCTCTATTTCAGTGAGCACCTTCACTTTTTTGATATCCCAGGATCCAAGTGAAAAAATAAGGATAAAAGACAGTGGGGAAAATAACAGCTTAGTGCAGAACAGGGAAAGCTTCTTTTCTGTTTCTGAAGCCCCACAAGGTCACCTCCTCTCAATCTGGCTATTTCATGGAGAATCCAGGTGACAAAGACAGAAGACACATTTTATGTCTGTGTCTTTTTGTTTCTCTGTTTTTGTGTTGATATATTTACACCACAGAAGTAACTGTGATCTGGTGGAGAACTAGAAGTAGAGTCAGAAGCCCTGGGAACATCCTGCAGCTTGCTTATATTTTTAACCTCTCTTTTTAAGAATTGTGATAAGAAATTCATCAATGTATGTACGTAGAAGTGCTTAGTACAATGTCTAGATTTATGATTTAGTAAATGAAATTCTTATAACTGACTAAAAATGTTGAGTCAAATCACAATAGAATATTATCAGGGAAACAGAACTTCTAAAACTTTGAGAAATTTTATCGGTCCAAATACACGTGGAGGTAAAGCTCTTACTACAGGGTGGTATCTGGGTTAGATATCAGAGTATAAATGCAATTTCCTTTTTCCAATATTTTAATTTAGTCAAATTTGTTAATATTTTACTTTATGCTTTGAGTTTGTTGTAATTCAGAGAAAGGCTTTTCCAATTCTGATATTCTTAACAGTTCTCTAGTGTGTATGTGTGTGTTTTTAGTTTTATGGATTCATTGACTTCAAATAAAGTTTTGAACTTTTTGAAATTTATGCTCTTTAAGGTTCAAGGTTTTGCTTCAACTTTTTCTCCAGTTGGATATCCACTTACAGCAACTTTTAATTGCATGAATGTACAGGTTGTTCTTTCACTTCAGAGATAAACATGATATGTTATTTTATTGAGTGCTAGCTGAAAATTTCTTTTGTTTTATTTAAGATTTTCAAAGTTATAGAAAAAAGAAGGATGTGATATATACAAATTGCATATTGAAGGGAGATATTGCCACACTCAAACAGGAATAATACACAATAAAAAATGACAGTGTCAAAAAGGAAAAGGAATATATTCAGGAAATTAAGAGTATTAGAGAAATAAATGCTAACTTTGAAAAAAGTGCAAGACTCAATGAGGAAATGACAACAAAAACGATGTCCCAGTATTGTCAACAGCTTAATGGCCTCAAAGCTGAGAATACAAGGCTGAATTCAAAATTGGAGAAGGAAGAACACCACACAGATGGACTGGAAGCTGAAGTTGAATTCTTCCATTCTAGGCTGGCTGCTGCTATAAATGAGCACAATGAAAGTTTAGAAACGAAAGACCTAGAACTTGTTTTACAGAGAGCACATAATTTTTCCGTACATAAAAAAATAAGTTCTACTGTTTCTCAACTAAAAGATAAAAATGAGTTGCTTACTGAACAATTTTCTAAAGCTCAGATGAAGTTCAATACCTTAAAAGGTAAGCTCCATGAGATAAGAGATGCTCTCAGGGAAAAGACATTGGCTTTAGAAAGTGTACAGATGGACCAAAGGCAAGCACAGCATCGAATAAAGGAAATGGAGCAGATTCATCCAAATGAGGAAACTAAAGGAGTCGATCCACCGGAAAGCACAACTGTGTAGAGGAGAGACTATGTCAACTAGAATGTGACAGTCTCTTGCTTCAACGACAACTAGAGGGTGCTCATAAGGAAGGCAATGATAAAGAGATAGTAATTAATATCCAAGGAGGCTGTCTTGAGAGTGGAAAGATCTTCTAGAAGAGAAAAATAAGAAACTAATGAATGAATATAATTCTATAAAAGAAAAACTGTTTCAGTATGTAAAAGAAGAAGGAGAAGTAAGTATGAAGAAAGATAAATATATTTAACCTTCCAGAAAGAAAATTTAAACATTTCATTGTGGCTATATGTTGAATCTAGTTCAATATAATAATAAATAGATGAAAATGTATTTACCATACTGTATAATTCCATTAACATGAAACATCCAGAAAAGACATGTATAGGGACAGAAAGAAGATGAATGTTTCTGTAGGGCTGGGGCTGGAAATGGGTCGTGACTGCTGATGGGCATGAGGGATCATCCTGGAGTGATGAAAATGTTCTAAAGCTGGATTGTAAAGATGACTGCACGACTGGTAAATTTACTAAAAATCTTTGAACTGTATGTTAAAACAGATAAATTCTGTAGTATGTAAATCATATTTTAGCAAAGCTGTTTTAATAAAAAAACAAAAAAAATATGTTTACTGTATCAGCTTGGAAACATACCTTGTTTCCAGGAAATAAAAGGTAGAGCTGACAGATGCTTTCCTTTGAGTAAACACATTATGTCACCTATGAAATTTTAGTAGCTACAGAGTAATGTTCATACAGTATGTAGTCTTATACTGCTGAAATAATAAATTTAATGTCTTTATGTTGTCACATTTTAAGACCATAATGAAGCAGATAAATTGATATCTTGTACCTGAAATAAGTATTTTGAAATTAAGATTCAATTAAGTGAGCCACTTTGACACTTAATTCTAGATTTCCCAGATGAACTGAAGTGTGTTGCTCTGTCTTGTGGTGCTTTTCCTTCAGTGGCTCTTTTATGTATTTTAGTTGGCATAACTTTATTTTGATTCATATCAATGTGACTTAAGTCTGAAAATATGTCAGTCTCACATTATGTATTTTTCTGACCACTTAATATTTTAAAGACATCTACTTGTTATAAAATCACAATTTGGAATAAATGTGGTAAATTTTAGCAAAAAATATTTGATTTAATGTTCCCACTGGTAGGTATTTATAATTTACTTTGAATATTTTTATTAATAATTAGCTCATAATTTACATTTCAAGTCTCCATGACTGTCATTTGGATATAACTTTGTCCAGTACAAAGATACTTGTAGCTGTCTGTGATTTGTGAGTTTGACATTGAATCCCCATTTTCAGACTAATGAGGGGTGGCAGAGTTCATGTAGAGTGGGAATGAAGTGAGTATGGGACAGAGTTGTAGGAGCTGAGCTCAGGGAGGGAGGTAGAGGCCATGTTATCTAGGGACTTGAAGGCCGTTGGAATTTTACTTTTACTCTGAGATAGGAATCTGTTGGAAGGATTTGAACAGGTGACTGAATGTGTGAGGAACTCAGGTTGAGTTGAGGGTCTGAGATGAATGAATAGTGGGCTGAATCAATCTGTCATGTAAGAGAATACCAATTTGGCAGGAAGACAACACCTTCTTTTTTTTTTTTTTTTTTTTTGAGACGGAGTCTCGCTCTGTCGCCCAGGCTGGAGTGCAGTGGCGCGATCTCGGCTCACTGCAAGCTCCGCCTCCCGGGTTCCCGCCGTTCTCCTGCCTCAGCCTCCCGAGTAGCTGGAACTACAGGCGCCCGCCACCATGCCCGGCTAATTTTTTTGTATTTTTAGTAGAGACGGGGTTTCACCGTTTTAGCCGGGATGGTCTCGATCTCCTGACCTCGTGATCCGCCCGCCTCGGCCTCCCAAAGTGCTGGGATTACAGGCGTGAGCCACCGCGCCCGGCCGAAGACAACACCTTCTATGTTCCTCACTGAATTCAGTAATAAAGGAGAATGTATACATATGAGAAAAAGAAAGCTAATCTATGTGTGTGGTAATAATTTTCAAAGTATGCATGTTAGAGTTAAATATTAACATAATTTAATAATAAGGCAATTTATAAAATTAATAACAAAAATATTTTATCAGGAGACTGTAAGGTAACCTCAAGAACAACTGGCCAGTCATCTTAAAAAATTTCCTATGTCAGAGTCTCCACTGGAAGGTACATCACATTGTCATATTAATTTGGATGAGACATGGGCTTCAGAGAAGAAATTATATTTCAAGTAGGAAGTCAAATATGTATGGAATTTAACATGTCGACAGTTAATCTGTAGCTGGTTGAATAATATAAACTGTTTTAGGATACTAATTTCAGTGGACAGCTTGATTTTTTATTTTTATTATAATTAATTATTACCATTTTATTACCTTTATAATGTACTTATTTCTTAAACTCTGGCTTTTATTCTGCCATTTTGAAAAATAATTGCATACGTTTTACAATATTTTCTCTTGGGAAAGTTGAGAAGTATACATCATTCCTCACAGAAAATTGGCTTTTTTCCTGTTAAATAGTATTTTTAGATAATTTCCTTATTGCCATTATTATGAGGTCAAGAGATCGAGATCATCCTGGCCAATATGGTGAAACCCTGTCTCTACTAAAAATATAAAAATTAGCCAGGAATGGTGGTGTGCACCTCTGTCCCAGCTACTTGGGAGGCTGAGGCAGGAGAATTACTTGAACCCAAGAGGTGGAAGTTGTAGTGAGCTAAGATGTTGCCACTGCACTCCAGCCTGGATGACAGAGTGTGATTCCATCTCAAAAAAAAGAAAAGAAAAAAAAAGGACAAAGTATGCTGGTCAATATCCTAAGGGTGAGACGATCCCCCTTCGAGATTAGAAAATAACACTATATGCACAGTAACATCAATAAGAATCAACATAAAATAGACATGATTCACTATCTACAAAAGTAACCTGCACCAAGTGGCAATGTCTGAGTGTGTGGTTGAGAATATTGTCTATAATATGTGTACTAGAAAGAAGAGGCCTCAAGAAGAAGGTCAGAGCTGGAAATGTAGATTAGGGAATCTGGGTCAAAATTTTGAGATTTTAGGAGTCCTGAGAGAATTTAAAAGAGGAATAGTGGCTGGGCGTGATGGCTCATGCCTGTAATCCCAGCACTTTGGGAGGCCGAGGTGGGCAGATCATGAGGTCAGGAGTTCAAGACCAACCTGGCCAACATGGTGAAACCCCGTCTCTACTAAAAATACAAAAAATTAGCCAGGCATGGTGGTGGGCACCTGTAATCCCAGCTACGTGGGAGGCCGAGGCAGGAGAATCGCTTGAACCTGGGAGGCAGAGGTTGCAGTGAGCGGAGATCACGCCACTGCACTCCAGCCTGGACAACAGTGCAAGACTCCGTCTCAAAAAAAAAACAAAAACAAAAAAACAAAAAACAAACAAAAAAACAGGAATAGAAAGGAATAGGACTGAACATCAGAGGTTGCTGCATTTAGAAATAAAGTGGGTTCAGAGGAGCAGAGGGAGCATTTGGTCTACTCGCAGTTGCTGCTGAGTAAAGCAGGATAAAGTCCTTCATGACCCTTGCACTTTTTTATTGGAATTATTTAAAAATCAGATTGCGGTATAAAAAACACAATAAGTGATGAAAAATAGATCTCTGGATGAGACCATGTGTCATAGAGTCCAATGGAAGGGGAGAAGCAGGATAATAGAAAATCTACAAAAAGTAGACAAAAGTTATGTTTTTATTATAGAAAAAATCTTTATTTAAAGAGAAATGATTAAGAGAAAGGGAAAAAACTGAAATCTATGGGTGAATACTAACAGAGAATATTTAGATCAGCCTGAAGACAGATGAGGATCAAAAATGTAATGGGAACTAGATAAGAGTTTTCTAAAAATCATCTTAGTAAGATGTAATTTAACAAAACTTGGAATATCTTTAACTATTAATGACAATGTTTCTAAAGCATCTTTAAAAACTAAAATGTAAATATAACTACTCTTTTTTTTTTTTTTACTAACCCTTAGTATTTTATGTGTAAAAACCCCCACTTTTAACCCTCATTTTTGGCAGCTTAAATTTCAGAAAAGATAATGATGAAAGTATAAATCATTTTTAGCTGTTTTAAGAAAAGTGTCTATTTTTGAAATCTGTCCTTATTGGCGTCAGGTTTATAAAATGTGCTTTATACACCTGCCTAAATACATATTATTCATCAACTTATGAGAAATAACATTTTTAAGATAGAACAGGGTCTCTAGATTTTACAAAAATAATTTTAAACACTTTCTTTTTTTCTTTTTTTTTTTTTTTAAGAATAAAGTCTGGAGTTTAGTTAATAGTAATGTACCAATGTTAATTTCAACAAATGTACCATTGTTATGTAAAATGTTAACATTAGAGGAAACCAGGTGAGGGTTATACAAGAACTCTCTGTACTATCTGCAACCTAGAATAATCTAAAACTATTGCCAAATAAAAGCCTTTTTTAAATTTTTTTGTTATTATACTTTAAGTTTTAGGGTACATGTGCACAACGTGCAGGTTTGTTACATATGTATACATGTGCCATGTTGGTGTGCTGTACCCATTAACTCATCATTTAGCATTAGGTATATCTCCTAATGCTATCCCTCCCCCCTCCCCCACCCCACAACAGTCCCCAGAGTGTGATGTTCCCCTTCCTGTGTCCATGTATTCTCATTGTTCAATTCCCACCTATGAGTGAGAACATGTGGTGTTTGGTTTTTTGTTCTTGCAATAGTTTGCTGAGATGATGGTTTCCAGCTTCATCCATGTCCCTACAAAGGACATGAACTCATCACTTTTTATGGCTACATAGTATTCCATGGTGTATATGTGCCACATTTTCTTAATCCAGTCTGTCATTGTTGGACATTTGGGTTGGTTCCAAGTCTTTGCTACTGTGAATAAGATATTAACTCAAAAAGTTTTCTTAATTCTTCATTTTCTTCTTCAGGCTTGAAAAAGAAAGTGTTGCAATAAACATAGGTGTGCATGTTTATTGCAACACTTTCTTTTTCAAGCCTGAAGAAGAAAATGAAGAATTAAGAAAACTTTTTTTGAGTTAATATCATCACTGGAGTATAATGTGGATCAAATAAGGAAGAAAAATCATGAATTAGAGGAAGAGGCATCTGGGTATGGTTTTCATATTGTAGAACATTTTAATCATTTATTAATTGACTTAACTCTAATATTACTTGATTAAAACCTAGATACAAATTCATTTTATGTCTGCATTTTCATAATTAAACGAAATCTATTTTAAAATGTATTTTGGAAACTCACAACATTATAGGCATGTGCGTCATGGGGGCGGGAGTCAGCTGAGCTGCTGGGGCAAGGTTGGGATGAAAAAATTTATATTAAAAACATATAAAAAAAGAAACAACACAATCTGAAATTTTTTTGAATGCCAAAATGCTACACTTCTTTTTTTTTTTTTTTTTTTTTGGAGACAGAGTCTGAGTCTGTCATCCAGGCTGGAGTGCAATGGTGCATTCTCTGCTCACTGCGACCTCCACCTCCCAGGTTCAAGCATTTCTCTGGCCTCAGCCTCCTGAGTAGCTGGGATTACAGGCATGCACCACCACACCTGGCTAATTTTTGTATTTTTAGTAGAGACGGAGTTTCACCATGTTGGTCAGGCTGGTCTCGAACTCCTGACCTTGTGATCTGCCCACCTGGGTCTCAAAAAGTTGGTGTGAGCCACTGCACCCAGCCATTTATTCTTTAATGATTTTGAAAACAATAATGAGAAAGCCTTGAACATGTAATGTCAACTGCACTCTTCATTATCTAGTTTCAATTATAATTTCTGAAGATATTTTTGCTGTCTTTGGTCAACTTTCTTTTGCAGTATCCTTCTCTGCTGCATTCAAATTCTTTAAAGGAGACCTATTCGTGTCATTCTTTAACATCAAAATTTATCTTGATATGTAGCTTGTATTTTGTTTCTGCCTCTTTTTCTTTTAAATATAAAACATATCATGGAAATTTACTCATTTTACATGGGCCCTTCTGTTGTATACATGAAGTATACATGCTATTAAACTTCTGTCTTACAGAAATAAATTTTATATATATATAAATATATGCATAACTTAAAAAGAGTAAAATGAGCATTCATGTTTTGATCACAGTTTTTTTTTAAATGGAATGTGTCTTTGAAGCCCTGAACACAGCTACTTTTCTATTTATTTACTGAGCACTTAAGTTGGTTTTCTGATTCTAATGAACATTTTTCTGTCATTGCCTTTCTCTACATGGTTCTGCATATCTTTCATTTTGTTGACATTTTGTCAGGAAAGATCTCTAGATCTCTTCTTCAAAGTCTTTACGTCAACACATATCTCTGTCCCTTTCCTTTTTTTCTAAAACTGCCTGTTTCCTTTTTCTCAGGAGATCTGGTTGTATAATAGGGTGTGCCACCTCCTTCGTCTCATTGCCCCTTGATATTCTGGTATGATTGGGTGGCTTCCTGAGTCCTGCAGAATCATGGGCCGATTAAAGCTCTTTTCTTTATGATCATAGAGAATATTAGTACTGCAAAGTGGAGCTATCAGATGTCTTCAAGGCCTTTTCCCTGTTGTCTTGACAATCAGCACTCAGCTTCTTTTCATTCAAGTATCTGAAGCCTTCTTGAATTTTTCCCCTCAAAATGGACTTGTCTTCCTTTACCACATTGCCAGGCTGCAACAAAGATAGCTGATAATGCAGAAGCAAGTTCAGAAGGGGCTAGCAAACAGAGGTCAGGAGAGTTTGGAGGGCTTTGAAGACAGGAAGATGAGGGAAAGTTTGGATCTTTGTAAAGAATTGTTAAATACTCGTGATCAAAAGCCTGACAGGAAAATGGACAGTAAAGGCCAGACTTAGAAGGTCTCAGATGAAAATGAGGAACTTACTAGGAACAGAAGCCAAGGGTACTTTTGATTTGCTGTAGCAGAGAACATGGCTTCACGGCGACCCTGCCCTGGAGATCTGTGATATAGGCTCCAGCCTACAGGGTCGGTGGGTTTTCTCCCATATGTGGAGACAAGAAAGTGTAGAAATGAAGACACAAGACAAAGAGATAAAAGAAAAGACAGCTGGGTCCAGGGGACCACTACCACCAAGATGCGGAGACTGGTAGTGGCCCTGAATGCCTGGCTGCACTGTTATTTATGGGATACAAAGCAAAAGGGGCAGGATAATGAGTGTGAGCCATCTCCAATGATAGGTAAGGTCACGTGGGTCATGTGTCCACTGGACAGGGGGCCCTTCCCTGCCTGGCAGCCAAGGCAGAGAGAGGGGGGAGAGAGAGAGACAGCTTACACCATTATTTCTGCGTATTAGAGACTTTTAGTACTTTCACTAATTTTGCTACTGTTATCTAAAAGGCAGAGCTAGGTGTACAGGGTGGAAAATGAAAGCGGACTAGGAGCGTGACCACTGAAGCATAGCATCACAGGGAGACGGTTAGGCCTCCGGATAACTGCGGGTGGGCCTGACATCAGTCAGGCCCTCCACAAGAAGTGGAGGAGTAGAATCTTCTCTAAACTCCCCAGGGGAAAGGGAGACTCCCTTTCCTGGTCTGCTAAGTAGTGGGTGTTTTTCCTTGACACTGATGCTACTGCTAGACCACAGTCCGCTTGGCAACGGGCGTCTTCCCAGACGCTGGCGTCACCGCTAGACCAAGGAGCCCTCTGGTGGCCCTGTCCGGGCATGACAGAAAAGCTCGCACTCGTCTTCGGTCACTTCTCACTATGTGCCCTCAGCTCCTGTCTCTGTATGGCCTGGCTTTTCCTAGGTTATGATTATAGAGCGAGGATTATTATAATATTGGAATAAAGAGTCATTGCTACAAACTAATGATGAATGATATTCATAGATAATCATGTCTATGATCTAGATCTAGTATAACTCTTGTTGTTTTATATATTTTATTATACTGGAACAGCTCGTGCCCTCAGTCTCTTGCCTCGGCACCTGGATGACTTGCCGTCCGCACTGTGAAACTTTGAACTTGAGGGTGATGACTTAGTGCATGTCTGGTGGAATGAACTTCTAGGCAGCAAAGCTCAAGATGTGTCCTGTCTGCATCAAACAGCCTGTGCTTTTATGTGTGACTGAGGCAGTGACCTCTGATTCGGACTTATATTAAATGAGTCCCAACTCTTATATTAAATGAGAAGCAAACTCAAAAGTTTGGAAAATTTGCAGCCTGGCCAATTGGTCAAAAAGAAAAGCTGATTTTCAGGGGAAAAATTCTGGAAGGGTTCAGAAATTTGCATAAAAAGGAGTCCAGTGCTAGTAGCCAAGACAATAGGAAAAAGGCCTTGAAGGCATTTCAGAGACATTTACAGCAGCCCTTGCTGTCACAGGCCCTGGGGCCTAGGAGAGAAGTATGGTTTCCTGGGCCAGTCCCATGATCTCCCTCTATGTGCAGCCTCAGGACACTGCTGCCTGCATCCCTGCAGCTCCAGCTGCAGCTCCAGCCATGGCTGAAAGATGCACAGATACAGCCTGTGTCACTGCTTCAGAGGATGTGAGCTAGAAGCCTTGGTAACTTCCTCATAGTGTTAAGCCACTAGGTGGACAGAGCATGAGACTAGAGGCTTGGGAGCCTCTGTATAGATTTTGGAAGATGTATGGAAATGCCTGGGTGTCCAGGCAAAAGCATCCCCAAAAGGCAGAGCCTCATAAGAAACCTCTACTAGAGCAGTGCCAAAGGAAAATATGGGGTTGGAGCCCCCACACTGGAGGCTACCATCATGCAGACCCCAGATTTATAGAACACCCCCCTCCCAACAGCTTGTACCATCAGTGGGGAAAAGCTACAGGCACTCAATGCCAGCCCAGCCCATGAGGGCAGCCGTGGGGTGTAAACTCTGCAAAGCCACAGGTGCAGAGCTGCCCAAGGCCTTGGGAGCCCAGCCCTCACACCCTTGTGCCCTGGATGTGGGACAAGGTTTCAAAAAGGGTGATTTTGGAGCTTTAGGATTGAATGACTGGCCTTCTGGGTTTGGAGACTGTAAGTCCTATCTGTGCTTTGTTCTTTCTGGCAAAATCCTCCCTTTTGGCTGGTAATGCTTACCCATTGCCTGTGCAAGTACTGTGCTTTGGAAGTAGTTAACTTGCTTTATATTTCAGAGGCTCATGGGCCTAAGGGACTGTAGCCTTGTGTCAGATGACACTTTAAGCTTTGGACATTTGTATAAATGCTGGAACGATGTAAGACTTTAGGGGACTGTAGGGAAGGCATCATTGTATTTTGCAATGTGAGAAGGACATGAGATTTTAGGAGTCAGGGACAGAATAATAAAATTTAGCTCTGTGTCCCTGCCAAAACTCATGTGGAATTGTAGTCGGGATTGTTAAAGGTGGGGCATGGTGGAAGGTGATTTAATCATGGTGGGGAGTGGGGGTTGGAAGGTGGGGGCATAGGGAAAATGGGGGACTATGGTGGGGGTGAGGGGTGAAAAGTGGCGAGGGGGTGGACCCTTCACAAATGATTAAACACCATCTCCTTATTGCTGTCCTTGTGATAGTGAGTTATCTTCATGATTTTGGAGCTGTGAGATTGAATGGATACTGGGCTTCTGGGTTTGGACTTGCATTGGGCCTGTGGTCCCATTTGTGTTATTTTCCCAGGAAATTTCTTCCCTTTGGATTGAGAAAGCTTACCCAATGCCTTTACCATCACCGTACCTTGAAAGAAAAGAACTCCCTTTTACATTCAGGGACTCATAGGCAAAGGGACTGTAGCCTTGTCTCAGATGAGATGTGGAATTGTTACATTTGCATTAATGCTGGAATGATTGAAGACTTTTGGGAACTTTTGTAAAGGCTTGATTGTATTTTGCTCTGTGAGAAGGACATGAGATTCAGTGGGCTCAGGGTTTGAATAATATGGTTTGTCTGTGTTTCCCTAGAAAAACTCAAGTGAATTGTAATCCTGAATGTTGGAGGTGGGGCCTGGTGGGAGGTGATTTAATCATGACAGGAGGGTGTTGGGGTGGAAGAAAAAGGAGTGGGTAGGGTAGGGAGGAGTATGTTGGCAGTAGGGTGGTGAGAGGGTAGGGGTAGCAGGAAGGGGGGTAACCTGCTGCAGAGGCAGAGGCTCATGGGAAACCTCTACTAGGGCAGTGCACCTGTGGCTTTGCAGGCTTTAGCCCCCATGGCTGCTCTCATGGGCTGGGTTGGTGTGGAGTGCCTGTAGCTTTTCCATACTGAGGGTGTGAGCCGTTGGTTTGTCTATGAATCTGGGCTCTGGAGGATGGTGGCCTCCTGTGTGGGGGCTCCAAGCCCATAGTTTCCTTCTGCACTGCCCTAGCAGAGGTTTTCCAAGAGGTTCTGCCTCTGCAGGAGGCTTCTGCCTGGAAACAGTGGGCGGTGGTGTGGGTGGCGGATCCTTCACCAATGGTTAATCTTCTTGATGCTGATCTCCTGATAGTGAGTTATCCTGAGATCTGGTCTTATAACAAGATGTGGCTCTTCTTTCCTCTCTCTGTCTTGCTCCTACTCCTGCCATATGAAATGTCTCATTGCCGCTTGGCCTTCTGGTATGGTTAGGAGGGGCCTGATCAGCGTGGGCCTGGTCAGTGGACCCAGTCAGTTGGGACTGACCTAGTCAGCGAGGCCTGTTTAATGGGGGCATGGTCAGCAGGGGTCTGTTTAGAGAGGGTCTCATTAGGGGGATCTAGTAGTGGGGTCTTAGTGAGTGGAGACCTAGTGGCAGCCAGTTGTTTGGTGTCTGGTCAGTGCAAACTTGGGCTGTGGGGCTTGGTCAGTGGAGCTTAGTGGTCAACTGGGGCTTAGTGGTGGCCTGGTCAGCATGAGCTGGGGCACTGGTGACCAGGTCAAGGGGTGCTATTCAGTGGAGGCCTGACCACAAGGGACCTAGTCAGCATGGCCTGGTGGGCGTGTCCTCATCAGCGAGGCCCTTGTCAGTGGGGTCCTGGTCAGGGCAGCCTGGTCAGTGGAACCGAATCAACGGGGGCCTGGTCAGAGAAGACTGGGTCAGTTGTGGCTTTTGTAGCACTGGTCTGTGGGGTGACCTGGTCAGCAGGGATCTCAGCAGCGGGTGCCTGTTCAGTGGGGTCTACTCACTAGGGTCGTGGTCAGGGGCATCTGGTCACCTCAGTCCTGGTTAGCAGGGGCCTGGTCAGTGGCAGCCTGTTCCCTGGAGGCCTGGTCAGTGGGGCCTCATCTGTGGGGCCAGGCAATGGGGTCATGATCAGTGGAACCTGGTCAGTGAGGCCTTGTCAGTAAGGTCCTGGTCAGTGAAGTCCTGGTCACTGTGGGCCTGGCAGCGGAGGCCTGGTTAGTGGGACCTCCTGATGGAGGTCTAATCGGTGAGGGTTTGGTCGGGGAGGACCTGGTGTGTGGGGTCTGGCCAGCAGGGACTTGGTCATTGGGGGGTGATGAGCGCTGCTGGGAGATCACAGGTGCAATGCATGTTATTGAGGGCCCTGTGGACAGCTGGGACGGCCCAGTGGCACCCAACAGCCCAGTCAAAAGTGGACAAAGCAGGTGTTTGGATGGACCTGGAGGATCTTGCTCAGAGATCCTGACAGGACAAAGTTAAAGGAAAGGCCAGAGTGGCTGGAGAGACGGTCACAGTCTATGTGCTGCACAGGATGGAGGAAGCCAGGGAATAGGCACGTGGGCAGTTGGGGTGCAGGGAGAGGCAGGTGCATGCTGGGAAGTCAGACCCTGAGAGGGCTGTGGGGGCATCAGGTGGGGTGGGCTCCAGGTGAACCCTCAGTGCACTGGGCAGGTCTCAGCCCAGGTTCCCTAGACCCAGGCCGGGTGATGTGATCGTTCCCTGGGGGACTGCTGTCAGGCCCCAGCCACCCACCCTGGGCAGCACTGTCCCATCTCAGGACTGGACTTTCTCAGATCCTGCAGAGGGCACAGCCTCTAGCCCAGGAGGGGCAGCCCCAGGATGCAGCCCAAGCTCTCCATGGGCCTGAGCATCCCCTGCCAGCCCTGAGCTCCCTCTGCTCCCAGGTCCTGCTTTTCCAGTGACAGCCAGCAGGGAGACCCCATCCTCCCTTCCCTGTGTGTCTCCTGGGCTGAAACTTGTAGTGGATTGGGACAAGGATGGTGCTTCCATCAGGCCCACTTAGGGAGGGGACTGGCTCCTAGCCTGGCGCAGGTCCTCAGCTCTGCCTTGGTTGCCTTAGAATGAGAAGTATCAGTCAGTGCCCTGAAGTTGAAGGTGAGAGACTGTCCGTGCTGTGTGCGAGGCTGGTCTAGGGATGGAGGACTTGGCAGGGCCCCCCGGTCTGTCAGGCCTGGGCAGTACTGTTCTGTCTCAGGACTCAGAAAGCCCAGCCCTGAGATGGGACGGTGCTGCCCAGGGTGGGTGACTGGGGCCTGACGGCAGTCCCTCAGGGAGTGACCACATCACACAGCTGGGGTCCACGGAGCCTGGCCTAAGACCTGCCCAGTGCACTGAGGGTGCACCTGAGTCCACTCCACCTGATGCCCCCACAGCCCTCACAGGGTCTGACCTCCCAGCATGCACCTGCCTCTCCCTGCACCCCAGCTGTCCACCGTGTATGTTCCCTGACTTCCTCCATCCTGTCCAGCAGGATGGGCTGGACAAGGGGGACAGCCTATGTGCACATTTGGTGGCAAGCAGGAGTGACACACCATCCCTGGGAGGTGCCATGGTTTCTGCCAAACCCAACTCCAGAACTCTGTCCCTGAGGTGGTTTTACCAAACCCAAAACCCAGAACTGTGGTTGTGGCTCAGCAGTCAGCACCCGCTAGTGTCAGGACACTACTGGGAAGTTGGGACCTGACCAAAGCCCATGGTGTCTGTGGCCTGAGGACAGGGTGTCTTGGGGCCATAAGGCTAGGCCACCAATGGCCATTGGGTCATAGGGCCTCAGCCCCAGGGTTTGTCCTTCCCTGGATCCTTCTGGTTCAGTCCTATCAGGGCCATGGAACCTGAGACTATAAACTAAGTTTCCCCCCAAGTTAGTTCAGCCTTCGCCCAGGAATGAACAAGGACAGCTTGGAGGTTAGACGCAAGATGGAGTCGGCTAAGTTAGATCTCTTTCACTGGCTCAGTCATCATTTTGAGAAGGCGGTTTCATCTCCACCCAAATCTCATCTTGAATTCCCATGTTTGCAGGAGGGACCCAGTGGGGGGCAATTGAATTGGGGGGGGGCAGGTGTTTCCTGTGCTGTTCTTGTGATAGTGAATAAGTCTCATGAGATCCGATGGGTTTAAAATGGGGAGTTTCCCTACACAAGCTCTCTGCTCTTGTCTGCTTCCCTGTGAAACGTGCCTTTCACCTCCTGCCATGACGGTGAGGCCTCCCCAGCCATGTAGACATGTAAAGTCCATTAAACCGCTTGCTCTTGTAAACTGCCCAGTCTTGGGTGTCTTTATCAGCAGCATGAAAACAGACTCATACAGCAGGCAAGCTGTGCTGAAGAAGCAATTACTCTATTCTTTGTGTTCTTTGTGGCAACCTCACTTACATTCTATCTTCAACCAAATACATCCAAATCTCCACTTATGAACACTCATGAGTGTGAACACATGGCAACCCTCTTCTCATCTGCCTGTACACTCCTGAAATGTCACTAGGAGACACCTGATGTGGGGGAAAGCCAGATGTTCAGATACTGTGATTGGAGTATTTCCGAATAAGGCAATGTCAGAAAGTTGTTGAGTCGCTAATGTCTCTACTGAAATTGAAAAAATTGAGTGGCACTGAGAATTAAAATGATTTTGTATCTAAGACATAACATCTATAGGCATTAAAATATTTCTATAATATAAAATGGAAAAAGCATCGACTATCAGAATATTTGGACAAATATTTGGGTCACGTATTTGGACCCATCTCCCTAATTCATTTTAAACATTTAAAAAAATGAACTTCTAATGGGATCCCAACAAAGGTGATTTAAATAAACTCCTCCATTTCTGCATATATACTGGTGAGGTTGTGAACAAAAGACTTATGTAATAATGCCCCCTAAAATAGTATATTCTATGAACATATCCAAAGGTAGTGTAAACAAAGTAATATATGAGATATAGCTTTATCTTCAGTATGCTGGGCAAATAATATTGTATTTATCTGAGGTAATTTATTGTATATAGTTTTAGCTACTTATATGCAATCTGTAAAACTTTAAAAACACAACATATCAGAAAATCCCCACAAAGATCTCAGTCCAGCAATTAAGTCACGCACACGATACTGGATCAATTTCACAAAGCACTTGGCTCCAAGTCACAGGCAGAACGGCTCTAAATGCACATGAGGAAGGGACCTCCTGGGACATTCTCTTGTGCTACATGCAGGTTATGGGAAGAAACCACACTCCAGGACTACAGCCACAGCCTATTTGATGCCACTGTGTCAAGTGTGGTGCTTGAATGTGCCAGGGTGGTCATGCAACGAACCTTCTGGCCCACAGCATAGACCAAATTGTCTATGAATTGCTTTAGTCTGCTCTTTCCTGCTTAACTAGACCTGTCTCCACTCTTTAAGTAGGACAATTTTACTCACCTTTAAGTAGAAACTGATTATATTTCGTAATAAACACCTTGTCTTCCCCAAAGAGAGTCCATGACTGTTTTAGAGACAGGATCTTGCTCTGTCATCCACGCTGGAATGCAGTGGTGTGATCTTGGCTCACTGCAGCCTCTAACTCCCCGGCTCAAGTGATCCTCCCATCTCAGCCTCCCGAGTGGCTGGGACTACAGGTGTGCTCTACCACACCTGACTAATTTTTTATTTTTATTTTTTGTAGAGACACGGCCTCCCTATTTGAATTTGAGATGCTGGTCTCAAATTCCTGGGCTCAAGCGATCCTTCCACCTTGGCCTCCCAAAGTGCTGGGATTACAGGCATGAGCCACAGTGACCAGCCCTCATCCAGGTTTTTAAAAAACTGATGGTGTTAAATAAAGACAGGATGCAAATTAGTTTCCATTTTTATTAAAGTTGTGTTTTTCTAAGGAATATATCACACTTAAAGTTCAATACCATAAATATTAGTTCTTAAATCTTCTATTTTACTTATTAAAAATGTAAACATAAAACAACCACTCCATCCCTGTCCCTGACCCAATATATATTAAAAAAATATTACTCCTCTCAGGTAAGTTCTTTTCTTCAGAATGAGTAACACAGACTTCATTAAAATCTTTTTAGTCCTCCTGGGCTGCAAGGACATGGCAGGAATGACTAGTGTCCACTGTGACAAGGGTCTGTGACACTGTGACTGAGGCCCGTCTCCTCCTGCCACGACGACTCATGTGCCCTGAGAGACAGGCTCCTCTCTGTCCAGTCAGCGTCCAAGGACACGGACAGTGGTAAGGCACCGAGCACAGACACTGTGATGGACACAGCACGCAGGATGGCGTATGCTCCTGGAGGCAGATCACAGCCAGCACAGACAGCAATTCTGGGTGAGTGTTAGTCAGAGGGTATTAGAGCTGGAAGGATTCTGAGATCACCTAGTCGTTCACAGATGGCCTCAGTCAGTAAGTCTTCTAATGTTAGAAGGAACATTGATACAACTTTATGAAATACTTTGATATATTTATTTATCTTCCTAAAACTAAACCTCATAAGATGATGTTTCAACTTCAAATATTGATAAACCTTAAGCCTAGATAGGCTGAGTAACTGCAAGCATAATTTATAACATTTATAGAATGTCTATTTGATCTCAACAAAAATAACTATCCTATAGGAAAAATGTAAGGGTTACTGGTTTTAAGAAATAAAAGGATGTTTTTCAGAATACTGGAAGGATCTATATGAGGACAACCTACCTGTTTGCCAGTTTCTTTAAAGCTGTCAGCTCAAGGCTACTGACATGGCTTTTGCTTCCTTCCTGTAAATTTTGTTTCTGAAAACCTGAGACAAATTCACTTGATATTTTTGACAACTGGGACCTTAAAATGATCAAAATGAGCCTAAGTCTGAACAGAAAACCAAGATAGTTTTTAATAAGTACTTGACCCTTTTTGAGTCAGAAAGTGACTCCAGTCTACTGTCCCCAAATTGCTGCTCCCCATTCCTTCCCTGTGTCCCTCACTTCCACTACAGCTGCAGCCGGCCCAGCCTGTCCCTCTTAACACAGCGACGTGGCTTCGTCTTTGCTAACATGAAGGGTATAACCTGCCACAGGATATCAACGTGTGGGCCATTTCAATTTCTTCACTTTGCAGCTGAATTTTATACCAATAATTCTGCAATGACATCTCGGATTCTAAAAGTCTGCTTCACTGTCATTTTTTTTTTTCCCAAGAAAGTCTCACTCTGTCATCCAGGCTGCAGTGCAGTGGTGCGATCAGCTCACTGTAACCTCAAACTCCTGATCTCGTGATCTGCTTGCCTTGGCCTCCCGAAGTGCTGAGATTACAGGCTTCAGTCACCGCGCCCACCACTACCATATTCAAAGTGACTAAAATGTGCCTCTTAAAATCTCTGACAGGTTCAGTGTCCTTCTAAGTCTTGCTGGGTACACTATGCAGAATCAATGATGAGTAAAATCATATTCAAGCCTTACTGAAGAGGACGGGAGACATCAACACAGTTACCCTGAGGAACTCAAGACTTTATCCATACTTTATCCAGTTTCACATTTGTCCAGAGAAAACACTGGGCGACCAGGTTCCCAAGCTTAATAAATATATATACAAAAAATGTCATCTATAATATTTTCTTCAGAAAGCCATTAGTGCAAATATAATTATATCAATAAAAAATAAAGCAAAAATATATTTCAAGTATAAAAAGCACCATGCTCAGAAACAATACTACCTAAACGGTGCCACTACACAACAGTCAAAATATAGTCGAACCTATCACTGTGACTCTCAAATATATGATTAATTCATTGTATTTTTGGTAAAATTCTTCATTCAGCTTTGCAGGATGATTCATAATCATAAGAAGTATATGTTTAGATTATTGTAAGTTTCTTTAAAAATAGACTCTTTGCTTTGACTTTTAATTTACACAATTTAAAGTATGTACAACATAGGCAGAAAATGAGCACTGGCCCGCAGACCATTACGCAGGTTGAGCATCACTTACTGAAATGCTTGGGACCAGAAGTGTTTCAGATTTCAGACTTTTTTTTGGATTTCGGATATTTACAGATACCTAATGAGGTATCTTGGGCATGGACCCAAGTCTAAACATGAAATTCATGTTTCATATATAACTACACACACTGCCTGAAGGTAATTTTATACAATATTTTTAGTAGTTTGTGCATGAAACAAAGTTTGTGTTAAGTACTTGTATGTGGAATTTTCTACTTGTAGTATCAGGTCAGCATTCAGAAAGTTTCAGATTTTGGAGCAATTTGGATTCTGGATTTTTGGATTAGGAATGCTCAACCTGTATTAGCTTCTTTTTAGTTAAGTTGACTATGTTTGAGATTCCCAGCTTTTCACAATGACAAATACCTCCCATTTAAAACTGCATGCAAATACATACTTTAAATTTATGCATTTGAAAAAAAAGCGACTTTCCTCTGTGCTGGGGTTGCTGTTGGCTCTAGTGCCAAATAATCAGAATTAATTCTTAGTAATTATGTTGCTTTGCTCACTTAGCATAATTTCTTCAATGGAGTACTGAATAGCTATATGCTGAATGGACGAAAAGCAGGGAAGGACGAGGAAAGGAGGAACAGAAGGAGTCTGTCCGAGGGTTGTGGTTACAATGCCATGGAGGAATAGGAGGAGTCTGTCCGAGGGTTGTGGTTACAATGCCATGGAGGAATAGGAGTCTGTCCGAGGGTTGTGGTTACAATGCCATGGAGGAATAGGAGGAGTCTGTCCGAGGGTTGTGGTTACAATGCCATGGAGGAATAGGAGGAGTCTGTCCGAGGGTTGTGGTTACAATGCCATGGAGGAATAGGAGGAGTCTGTCCGAGGGTTGTGGTTACAATGCCATGGAGGAGTAGGAGGAGTCTGTCCGAGGGTTGTGGTTACAATGCCATGGAGGAGTAGGAGGAGTCTGTCCGAGGGTTGTGGTTACAATGCCATGGAGGAGTAGGAGGAGTCTGTCCGAGGGTTGTGGTTACAATGCCATGGAGGAATAGGAGGAGTCTGTCCGAGGGTTGTGGTTACAATGCCATGGAGGAATAGGAGGAGTCTGTCCGAGGGTTGTGGTTAGAATGCCATAGGACTTCATTAGCTTGAGAGAAAGAATGGGCATCGCCTATCATTCATGAATATATTTTTTCTTTTTTCTTTTCATATTCTTGTTAAACCTCATCTAGCCATTAAAAATTACTAAATGGGGCTGGTAAGCTCTAGTACCAGTGTAAAATTGCTTCTGGGGACCGGAATCTATGTAGTAACAGGAGGAGTGTCAAATGCAGAAGGTAAAGGATATTTAAAGCGAAGGCAATCTTCCAGCTTCTGTGGACTGAGTCTTACTTAAAAGTGGTACAGTGGACGCTACTGGATAGGCTCTACACCAAACTTATACCTTGCTATTAGTACACAATTCAGACCATCCTTCTTAAACATAAAACCATTTTCAGATGTTAGAAATTCTTCTGCAACAATTTCTTAACCCATTTTAAAAAACTGCATACCCGTCTTTACCAGAATTTCTTTTTATCTTCATCGGTCACAAAGGAATAGTTGTGTTTTTGTTGTTTCACAGTTGTCTTAAGTATTATCTAAAACAATACAATTATTTTTTTTCTGTTTGCATGTCTTCCATGTTTTTACAGGGCAGAGTATTTTACTCTCTCGGCTTCCACATTTTTTCATGTCATTATTAAACTCATGGAGAATACAACCAGAAGCTGAGCTCTGAAGAGGGATGAATACAGAGGGCTACCAGCACAGTGATAGCAGTTCTGGAAGCTGGGCTCTGAGGAGGGATGAATAGAGGGCTACCAGCACACTGACAGCAGTTCTGCCGTAAACTGCCACATAGCTGGCAAAAAGGGCAAGCACGGTTAAATCATAAGATTTAATGAAACATTATTTAAAAAAATTCTTTAGAACAATGGGAACAGTGAATTAAGTTTACTATATACCAGCCATTAATTTTTTTTTTTTTAAGATACAGGGTCTAACTCTATCGTGCAGGCTGGAATACAGTGGTGCAATCATAGCTCACTGCAGCCTTGAACTCCTGGGCTCAAGCGATCCTCCTGCCTCAGCCTCCCAAGTAGCTGGAACCATGCCTGGCTGCCATTAAATTTAAAATAGGTATAATAATGATATGTAGAAATCCCAATTCCATTATTTTCTATAACTCAAAGGACAATTTATACTTTTGAGGACAAGATCTCCAATTCTAATCTTGCAATAATTGGCTGTTGTTTAAGTGACTGCAGTATATGGATGATGAACTTTCCCATTGTTGTATGTTAATAAAAATGTTGAGGTATGTAATCACTCTGAAAATTCCACCCATTATCCTATTTTCAAAGGAAAACTTTGGGAAGATTACAAACCCTGAAAAATGAAGACTTGGTGGCTTGCAGTTCCTTCTCCTTCTCCAAGATGAGGTGGTTGGGTTGCTGAAGAAGGTGGTTGGTTTGCTGATGAAGGTGGTTGGGTTGCAGATGAAGGTGTTGAGTTGCTGATGAAAGTGGTTGGGTTGCAGATGAAAGTGGTTGGTTTGCTGATGAGGTGGTTGGGTTGCTGATGAAGGTGGCTGGGTTGCTGATGAGGTGGTTGGGTTGCTGATGAAGGTGGCTGGGTTGCTGACGAGGTGGTTGGGTTGCTGACGAGGTGGTTGGGTTGCTGACGAGGTGGTTGGGTTGCTGATGAAGGTGGTTGGGTTGCTGATGAAGGTGGTTGGGTTGCTGATGAGGACAGGCTGCTGTGAAGTTCTGCTTCAAGGTCTGATGGTCGTCAATTCTTCCAAGCCAAAGCCAGGAATGCCACTTCTACCATCTGCATAGGTTGGCACTCACTCAAACTTTGTGCTTTGTTCACAAGAACATAACATAAAAGAATATCTTGAAGATCCACTTTTCCATTCCTAGTGCCATATACACAGAAGAAATCCAGCCAGCAGAGGAAACAGATTGCCTAGCAGAAGCCAGAGGGTGACCACCAGGCTCGAGGAACAGGAACAAAGATCTAGAGTTGAAAACAAAAAACTGACTTTCTATAAACAATTTTGGGATAAATCATACCAATTAAATATTGACAGATGAAGAGCAGTGATTATTAAAAAGTAAACAAGGACCACCTTGAGAGCTAAATCAAGAGCAAAACCCAGGTATAAAAAAGTTTTTGTTTCTTTTTTAATGGAGGAAAAATATATATGGAGGAAGAAATGATGTATCCACTATGTCAAGGTTAAAAAATGGTATCCAAAAAAAATTGCCTTGGGGTAGTACCCCAGCAAAGATAAAGATCTTGGTTATTCTGAGATGGGGTGAAGAACTTTCTTCTTTTATTCTTTCTTTGTACCTTCTAAGTAGGGTGACCATATAATTTATCAACACAAACTAGTACATTTTGAGAATGCAAGGGTGAGTACTATTAATAATGACAACAGGCAGACGGACTGTGAGGATGCAAGGGAGAGGACCATCAATAATGACAACAGGCAGACGGACTGTGAGGAGGCAAGGGAGAGGAGCATCAATAACGACAACAGGCAGACAGACTGTGAGGAGGCAAGGGACAGGACCAGCAATAACGACAATAGGCAGACGGACTGTGAGGATGCAAGCGAGAGGACTATTAATAATGACAACAGGCATATGGATGGTCTCAGGCAGACCAGAACATATGGTCCCCTATTTCTAAATATCTACCCATACATTCATATCACCAATCAATCAGACTTGATTTTGAAACAGCAGAAGATTCTACAGATTTTGGGCACTAGAGGTATATTTTAATTCAGCCATGAGGTGTCCTCATAGGTTAAAACAGTTCTCATAATGGAAATATTTTTATAGCAGTAGGGAGATGAGGCCAACCTGACCTTATTTTAGGATGAGTTGCCCTTTTAAATATTTTAAACAATAAAGATGAGCTTTTATTTATTTATTTTGAGACAGAGTCTCATTCTATTGCCCAGGCTGAAGTGCAGTGGTGTGATCTTGGCTCCGCCTCCCGGGTTCAAGTGATTCTCCTGCCTCAGCCTCCTGAGTAGCTGGGATTACAGATGCATACCACCACATGTGGCTGATTTTTGTGTTTTTAGTAGAGATGAGTTTTCACCATGTTGGCCAGGTTGATCTTGAACTCCTGACCTCAAGTGATCCACCTGCCTTGACCTAAGATTTTATATCAAATAAAATTAATTGTGTCATTATGATTGTAACTGCAGAAAACTCAGCTGCCTCACTTGGAGTACTGTGTAGAGCAGAGTTAATACAGCAGGCCTGAAACTGCTATCTTTAGAAAGTTCTGCATGCAAGGAGGGCCTTTGCTGGTGGCTGGGAACTGGTTTCCTCACAACTTTGCCCCACGCACCTCTTCCCATTGCTGATTTTGCTCTGCATCATTTCACTTTAACAAATCTTAGCCATGAGTACTATGATGAGCAGCTGAGTCCTGTGAGTCCTTCTGGTGAACCAACAAATTTAAGGTGCTCCTGGGGACCCCCAACACAAGTACTCATCTTCCAAAACTCATCCTCTGCCTACAGCCCCTAGGGGATGAGGTCCTCAGGATTTGGAAAAGAAGGGAAGTTAATCTTAGAGGTGGAGAAACTTTGACTTGAAAACTGAGTGTGGCCCTCTATTTTCAATCACATCACACCATGGACTAGGCAAAGGGCAATGCAGTTCCACCTAAAAAACACCTCTAGTTGAGAAAATGAAACATTGCATAAGATTTTTATTGTTCATAATCTGAAATGTCAAACTGCCATAAAAATCTCATAGGTCATTTAAATCAAAATTTTAATTGTGAATTGATGAATTCTGCTTTTATACTCTCAGCAATGCATTATCAGCCTCAGTTTGAACACCGTCAATTTCATGGGGAAGGCGTTCTTCTCAAGGGTGTTTTCTGCATTCCCCTCCTGCTTCTAAAGGGTTTAATTGGCATCTGTCTCCTCATAACTTCAATCTCTTGGTGCCAGTTCCATTCTCTGGAGTCTCACAGAACGAGCACTCGGTCCTATTCCTCAATGAACCCCCCGGTCTTTGCCAGCCCACATCTCTCTGTCTCATTTCGCATGTGTGTTATTGCATCTTTCTCCTCTTTGTGGGTATGCCAATTCCTTTTTTCGGTATCTTTTCCAGGTCTTTCCCTCACTTTCACTTCAGCTGATTATGATATGACTAAAATATATTTAATTACTTTTTGTATTTAATGAGCAGAATTTTGTTTACCCTTAATTTCCAAATGAATGGATACAACGTTCACTTTTTGTGATCTTTGATGAATAATTCTGTGCAACTCAGAGGTTCTTCACCAGAAAGGTTCCTCACCCTTGCTCTTACTCAAAAGTGTCAAGTTGACCTACCTTAGATTTCCGATAATGGTGGGAAGGAGGAACTTCCCATAAAAATGCAATCAGCAGAGAAGAAACTCAACTTGTTTTAGAGCTTCCTTGAAGGGAAATGCCAACATTTTATAAGAGAAGTTCACCTCCTTCACTTTTCCCTCTTTATTCCAACCATAGAGAGCACTCACCAAGTGGCAGAGCTCGGGTCAGGTTAGTGGCTGGAGGATCTGTTTCTGGAGGACAGAGCTCACAGAAGTCCCAACATGATGGGCAGAGCAGGTTTCCATCGTGAATCCAGCCATTCATCTGGATACTGACAGGGAGGACCTGCCCAGCCCGACTACACAAATATGAAGTATCTTGGACCCAAACTTTCAGACCTTGAGGAGAACAAGAAACCTTCAAACAGGAAAAAAATAGATATATAAAAATAATAAATATCAGGTCAGTAAGATTCTAAGAGATTTCTCCTTCAACTACAGGAAAATATATTAAAACTTACTAAAAACATTGGCTATAAAGCACAATTTGCAGTGTGGGCATAACTTTAACCTCATATAAAGAGTTAAGTTGGCCGGGCGCGGTGGCTCACACCTGTAATCCCACTCTTTGGGAGGCTGAGGCGGGCAGATCATGAGGTCAAGAGATCGAGATCATCCTGGCCAACATGGTGAAACCCTGTCTCTACTAAAAATACAAAAACTAGCTGGGCGTGGTGTCATGCACCTGTAGTCCCAGCTACTCAGGAGGCTGAGGCAGGAGAATCGCTTGATCCTGGGAGGCAGAGGTTGCAGTGAGCCGAGATCATGCCACTGCGCTCCAGCCTGCCAACAGAGCGAGACTCCGTGTCAAAAAAAAAAAAAAAAAAAACCAAAAGAGGGTTATTTAGGTCCTAAAAGAATTACACTCTGTGTGGCAGGAGTTCTTAAACTTTGAATCTAGCACCTTTTTAAGAATCTGATGGAAGCTATGGACACTTTTCCCAAAAATTACAAGGGGGCACACACATACAGCTTTTTTTTTTTTTTTTTGAGATGGGGTCTTGCTCTGTTGCCCAGGCTGGAATACAGTGGCGATCTTGGCTCACTGCAGCTTTGAGTACCTTGGGCTCAGATGATCCCCCCACCTCAGCCTCCTGAGTAGCTGGGACTACAGGCATGTGCCACTATGCCTGGCTAATTTTTGTATTTTCTTGTAGAGATGGGGTTTGGGTTTTGTCATGTTGCCTAGGCTGGTCTCGAACTCCCGGACTCAAGTTATCCACCCACCCTGGCCTCCCAAAGTGTTGGGATTAAAGGTTTGAGCCACTGCACCTGGCCATAAGTCAAATTTTAATTGGGGTTTGAAATTATAAAAATGTTTATTATAAACAAACAAGAATTTATACAGCATAGAAACGCCACACAGCACAAGTTCTTCATTCTTTCTCCCTAACCCTAAATGCTCTGCTCAGTCACAGGAATTTTATCCAGACCTTATCTTTAAAGGCAAGACTCATAGCTCATTTGCACGTGATAGCTAATGAAATCAGTTTTTAAAAGCAAAAGAAAACACATTAATGCTAACTTTTAAAACATTTAGAAATAGTAATTTTTTAAAATTTTAATTTATTTATTTTTTTTAGACCAAGTCTCACTCTGTTGCCCAGGCTGGAGTGCAGTGGCATGATCTTGGCTCACTGCAACCTCTGCCTCATGGGTTCAAGCAATTCTCGTGCCTAAGCCTCCCAAGTAGCTGGGACTACAGGCCTGTGCTACCACACCCAGCTAAATTTTTGTATTTTTAGTAGAGATGGGGTTTCACCATGTTGGCCAGGCTGGTCTTGAACTCCTGACCTCAGGTGATCTGCCCGCCTCGGCCTCCCAAAGTGCTAGGATTACAGGCGTGAGCCACCGCACCCAGCCAAAAATTTTAACTATTTTAAAAAAAACCTCAAAGTTGTTTTCTACAAAGACTTCACATTCAATTATGCTACTTCCCTTTAAACACTTCTGAAACTTCTCTCTTGGACCTATCTTCAAAGTCAGTGCATGCTTCTGAACCTGTCTGATGGTAGCAAATTTTTAAGTAGCAAGTAGATATAATTTTTGGAAATAGCCCAAGGTTGCCCAGAAGCAAGTCCAGCAAAGGTAGTTGACTAACCTGGTTAAGACAACGTGTGACACAAAATTACTAAGATTGATTTCCTTAGGTGACTATTAAACTACCAAAGATAATTTCAAAAGTATATTTGAAGTCATTTTGAAATAACTCTATCATCAGTTAAGTTGAAATATATCACTCTTTTGAACATTTGTTTTAAGATATCACAAAAACAAACAATGAAGTGTGACCTCTTCTCTGTCACTCCGTGATCCACATCAAGTAAGCATCACCACAGCTACAGTGCAACATCATTATTCTTTAAAGCGAGACTTGATCAAGCGCCGTGCTTGGCGCTGAAAAGGACACTAAAAAAGTACACAATACAGTGCCTGCCCTCTAGCAGTTTCAATTGAGGAAAGAGGAGTAGGATATAAAAATTTTTTTCAGCCGGGCACAGCGGCTCATGCCTGTAATCCCAGCACTGTGGGACACCAAGGCAGGTGGATCACCTGAGGTCAGGAGTTCGAGACCAGCCTGGCCAACCTGGTGAAACCCCGTCTCTACTAAAAATACAAAAATTAGCCAGGCGTAATGGTGGGCTACTCGAGTGGCTGAGGCATAAGAATCACTTGAACCCAGGAGGCCGAGGTTGCAGTGAGCTGAGATCCCATCACTGCACTCCAGCCTGGGTGACAGAGTGAGACTCCATCTCAAAAAAAAAAGATAATAAAAATAATAATTTTTTTTATAAAATACTAACTGTATTTTGAAATTAGAAGAAAAAGCAAAAAATGAACAGTACCAGACTATTTTATGATTAAGAGTCAATAAATGGTAGAAACAAGAACAAATATTAGAAACTTTCATGGAAGACAGCATTTGCATCCTAAGGATGTACACAGGATTTGGACTACTGCCGGGCAGATGTTACAGGTTGGGAAGCAGAATGCACATGGCTTAGAGATGAGAATTATATGAGAGTGTTGATAGGACAAGAGGAAAACTCCCTTGCTGAAGTTGAAGTATTCTCATTGTGGAATTCTGGGAATTAAGTGTGGGCAGGAGGGTAGATGTACAGGTAGCAGCAGACATAACAGACTCAGGAAAGCTGGATCAAAATCCAGCAACAGGAAGAGCCAGGAAGAAACTGATCTGCAGAACACAAGAGGGCTCAGGACTGCCACAGCCACACCTGGTACCAAGAAGTAAGAGCTACAATCAAAAGGATTAGACAAACGTCTGTTTCAGAGACAGACGCCAGCATTCCTCTCCCTCACTGCGACCAGCTGGACCAGTTCGTTCCGAACCCAGCTGATATAGTTTGGGTATTTGTCCAAATCTTCTGTTGAAATATGATTCCCAGTGTTGGATGTGGGGCCTAGTGAGAGGTGTCTGGGTCATGGGGATGGATCCCTCATGAATAGCTTGGTGCCCTCCCCACAGGAATAAGTTCCCCAGAGATCTGCTTGTTCAAGAGGTCGGGAGCTCCCTCCTCTCTCGTTCCCGCTCTATGTGATAAGCCTGCCCCCACTCTGCCTTCCGCCATGACTGTAAGCTTCCTGAGCCGTCACCAGAAGCCGATGACAGCACTTATGCTTCCTGTAGTCTGCAGAACTGTAAGCCAAAATTAACCTCTTTTCTTTATAAATTACCCAGCCTCAGATACTCCTTTACAGCAACGCAAAATGGACTAATACACCAGCATACTGGAGATTTATTTTTTGGAAAGGGTAAAACAGAGTTTTTCTGTTCTGGGGAAAACTAAGTACAGCAGAGAGCTGGGATGCCATCATGAAAATAAGGACTCGAAGTTTACAGGTTAAAGCATTCAAAATCGACTTCCTTCCTAGAACTCTGACAGCATATAAACTTAGGCGGGTCACTGGCAGTTTCTCTGACCAATCTGACCCGTCAAAAGGACGGACATCAAAGGTTTTGTAAGAAAGGAGCCCCATAGGGAGACCACAGTCAACAAGCCCTATGTGTGTGCTCAGAGCTTCCAAACTGGCTTCCAGGCACTTTTCTTTTCTTTTTTTTTTTTTTTTGAGTCAGAGTCTCACTCTGTCGCCCAGGCTGTGGTACAATAGTGTCATCTCAGCTCACTGCAACCTCCACCTCCTGGGTTCAAGTGATTCTCATGCCTCAGCCTCCTGTGTAGCTGGAATTACAGGCGCCCACCACCACACCGGGCTAATTTTTGTATTTTTAGTAGATGAGGGGTTTCATCATGTTGGCCAGGCTGCTTTCAAACTCTTGACCTCAAGTGATCCGCCTGTCTCGGGCTCCCAAAGTGCTGTGATTACAGGTGTGAGCCACTGTGCCAGGCTCCAGTCACTTCTTGAATATGAACAGGCTGTTAATGATCACCAAAAATAGAATCAACCCATTAAATTTTGGAATACTGGGGCTTGTGGCAGATGAGGATGTGGTATGCGAAGTTAAAATTAAGAATTTACAGCTTCCAGAGAAGAAAGAAAAAAGATTCTGGCAATTGAAACTCAGAATGACACTGACAGTCAGCACACAAAGGAAAAATGCTTTCAGAATTCTGATGGAAAATAATTTTCTTTCTTTTTTTCCTGCACCCAATCATCCATTAGGAAAATAATTTTCAAAAATAAAGCTATACCCACCCAAGCTATTGAAGGACGGCAGAACACGCCACCCCAAAATGTGCTGTTTTGGCACAAAGGTTTCCAGCTAAAGGGACTTCAACACAGCAGACCCAGCAAGACTGTTCTGACATCCCCCTTCCTCCTGAAAGCAGAAGACACAACTCCCACATGAATAATACCCTTCCTTTTCCAGGAGAAAACAAACATTTTTATCACCAATATGGGGAGTCAAAGCCAAAGAATTTGGTACAAACAGACCTTCTTAAAATAATTCTTATCTTCCTTTAGCCTCCGCATACATTTTACTTTTCTGTAACTGTCTCCCTTTGTTCAATGTAGTATAAAAGTATATAGGTTTCACACTTCTTTGAGTTTTCATTTACTCATGTGGGCTCCTGTGTCATGTAAAACTTAGATTAAATAAATGTGTATGTTTTCCTCCTGTTCATCGGGCTTATGCCTATTTCATTCTCAGGCCTAGCTGAGGACCCTGAGGGCAGAGGTGAGGTCCCGCCTTCCCACGCTGTCAGCAGGCGTCACGGTGGAAACTAGCTGAGGACCCTGAGGGCAGAGGTGAGGTCCCGCCTTCCCACGCTGTCAGCAGGCGTCACATCACGGTGGAAACTAGCTGAAGACCCTGAGGGCAGAGATGAAGTCCCGCCTTCCCACGCTGTCAGCAGGCGTCACAGTGGAACAGTGATGCTTTCAGACATGCAAGTCTCAACATTGTTCTCCGTCACATACTCCTCAAATCTCCACTAGAAGATATGTTCCATTAAAATAAAAAAAATCCAAAAAAGAATATGACACAAAATCCATGAAGGAGGGGATCCAATATGAGAGAGACAGAGGGACCAGAGGGACCTCCAGGATGATCCTGACTCGAGATCCCAAGATGCCAGCTGTGCTGCCAACATAAGGATTATATAGTCGAGATTAGCACAGGCCAGAAATGTCCAGAAGAGATTTCCTCAAGATGAAATGGATAGAATACCTCAGGTATCTGGTTCTACTGAAAGGAGATGAGCCCAACTGGGAGAAGAGCTTAGAATTGAATTAGTGCTAAATACAAAGAAAACTAATTGCAAAAAAACAAGGTCTTAAATCCAGAGAAAACGAAATACTGGGGAGAACGGGGAAGTAATGATTGCATGCTACCAGGCGCCACGTCTGCATAGTCCTGGTAATGTAAACAGTGAATACGTATTTATCCATAATCACCACTGGGAGGATGGGAAACAAGAAGTGTACGATGGGGAAAGAGGAAGTGAACACAGCAAGAGGACGAGGCGAACCAACTAAATTCTTATTTTCCAAAGTCAACAGCTAACATTTGAAATTCAAACCTTATGAAAGAATAATATAAGCTTTTTAAAAATAAAAAAGCAGGCCAGGTGCAGTGGCTCACGCCTGTAATCCCAGCACTTTGGGAGGCCCAGGCAGGCAGATCACTTGAGGTCAGGATTTTGAGACCAGCCTGGCCAACATGGTGAAACCCTGTCTCTACTAAAAATAAAAAAAAACAGCTAGGCATGGTGGCGGGCGCCTATAATCCCAGCTACTTGGGAGGCTGAGGCAGGAGAATCACTTGAACCTGGGAAGCGGAGGTTGCAGTGAGCCGAGGGATCATGCCACCTGCACTCCAGCCTGGGAGACAGAACAAGAATCTATCTCAAAAAAGTAATAATAATAAAAAAAAATAAGAAAGCAAATAGTAAGTCTCCCCTGACTCCTCCACCCCCAACAAAACAACAACTAAGAATTGAAAGTGAAGACTCTGGGAAGAAGTAATAAACATTAGGGAAGTAATAACAGAGGCTCTAGTTTTTTGTGTGTTTTTCTGTTTGTTTGTTTGTTTTTACATGTAGTCTCACTCCATTGCCCGGGCTGGAGTGCAGTGGTGCGATCTTGGCTCACTGCAACCTCCATCTCCCAGGTTCAAGCGATTCTCATGCCTCAGCCACCTGAATATCTGGGATCACAGGCAGGCGGCCACCATGCCCGGCTAATTTTTGTATTTTTAGTAGAGACAGGGTTTCACCATGTTGCCTGGGCTGATCTCGAACTCCTGACCTCAAGTGTTAGCCTCAGCCAACCAAAGTGCTGGGATTACAGGCATGAGTCACAGCGCCTGGCCTGAGGCTGTAGTTTTTTGGAAGCAGACAACAAATTTGTTTCAAACTATTTGCATGTAAAAGTTTGATCAAAACTAAAATTTTAAAAGGATCAACGTGGTCATGGAAGTAAGATGAGAGGAGGGAAATTAGTTAGGAAACTGTGAAGTGATAATGGCTTGAACTATGAAGGTAAACCTAAAATAAAATAGATATAAGAGATTTCAATAGGAGAGTAATCTAAAGACTTAGTCTGTATTGACCGTCTTTATAGAACAGAGAGTAGAAAATGATCATTCTGGTTTCTAATTAGAGAGACTGGGACCAGTGCTGGAAGCAACACAGCCGAAATGCAGCGTTGTTGAGAGAGGGCTCCTAAACTGGATTTTGGAGGAACTGAATTCAGAATGATCAAAGTACAACCAAATGTACTTGAGACGTCCACAGCCAGTTCAGACATGGGGCTGGAATGATGTAAGATGATACTAAGAACGACTCTTTAATACACACCACAGAACAGTATGTGTAACTTGATACTATTGGTGTAAAAAATGAAACAAAAATATAAATTTGTGCCTGCACAGAGTTTATCTTTAGAAGGATGCAAGAAACTGGTAATATTACTTCCCTCCGAAGGGAGAAGTGAGTGACTAAAAGACGGGGCTGGGAAAGGCTTTTCCTGTACCCTGTACATTCTTTTGCATCTTTTGAATTTTTCACCATGTGAATTGCTGACTTATTTAATCAATATATAAATTACTTAAAAATTTATATTAAAAGGTGCCATCAGCACAAAAGGTGATATGATAAGGTCCATGATCTCAGTTTCATCAGGGAAAAACATGTTAAGAACACAAAGGGTTGACATGAAAACACACGCTTAAAGGTCTCTTTTGTACAGAGATAATACAGTTTCCCTTTGAACTTTCACCTGAAGTATTTCATCCCACTTTTTATTTCATTTATTCTTATTTATGTTAGTCTCAGCAATTATTTAGCCACAGATAGCCAATCTTTAACTTATAACAAAGTCCATTTCAACAACTCATTTATCTTATGGACGAATATCCTACAGGTGTCAAAGCCCACAGAATGTAGAACACCCAGAGTGAACCCTAATGTGAACATGGACTTCGGATGATGATGTCGGTTCATCGAAACACCCAGAGTGAACCCTAATGTGAACATGGACTTCGGATGATGATGTCGGTTCATTGAAAACACCCAGAGTGAACCCTAATGTGAACATGGACTTTGGATGATGATGTGGGTTCATCGATTGTACCAAAAATGCCTCTGTGGTACAGGATGCTGACGGTGCGGAAGGCCACGAGTGTGTGGAGCAGGGGTATATGGGAACTCTCTGTACCTTCCACTTAAATTTGTTGTGAACCTAAAATTGCTCTAAAAAATAAAGTCTATTAATAATAATAAAAAAGAAACCTCAAAATAACACCAAAAACCCCTCAACAACAACAACAAAAAACCTAGTTTGGTAGTTCCTAAAAAAGCTAAACATAGAATTGCCATATGATACAGCAATTCTACTGCTGAGTAGACTGAAAATAGGGACTCAGACAGATACGCGGAAGCCAGTGTTCGCTGCAGCAAGACTCCAATAGCCAAGAGGTGGACACAAACGACCTAAGTGTCCATCAACTGATTCAAAACGTGACAGATCCATACAATGGAGTGTTATTGAGACATAAAGGAACACCGTAAGGAATACTGTTCTGATACATGGCACAATGTGGATGAACCCTGAGAATGCCACGCTAAGTAAAAGGAGTCAGGTACAAAAGGACAAACATGGTATGATTCTACTTATAAGGACTATCTAGATTAGGCAAATCCACAGAGAGAGGACGTAGAATAGAGGCTGTCAGGGCTGGGGGAGGAGGAAGAGGGAGGGATTGTTTAGTGAGTACAGAGTTTCTGAGACGCTCGGTGGCAATGTGCATGACAACGTGAATGTATTTAGTGCCACTTAACTATACACGTAAAAACAGTTAAAATGGAAATGTTTATGTTATATATATTTTGCCACAATTTTAAGAAAAAAAAGCCCAGTGATCCCTCCCTTTCTCCTTTCCCCTTCCTCAAAAGCAATTACGTCTAAAGCCGTTAAGTGAGGCAAGGTAGGTGATCTGTTTGGAGGGGTGGGGGAGGTGTGTGACCGGGAGGTCACGCAGAGTTGGCCGGGTGACGAGGGTAATGGGAGTGGGAGAAAGTGGACGGGATGTGGATAGATCAGATGAGTAAACATGCTGAGATGACAGCAGCTGGACTTCTCACTGTTGGTGAAGGAAGTACATATGTGAAAAGGTGGAAAACTAAAATAAATGCTTTGGTATCAGACAAGGTCTCCAACCGATGGAATCAAACCAACCTTACTGATGCAAACTCATGATTACTTACACACACACACACGCACTCACAGGAGAGTGTACTGATACATATACATACATTTCCTACCTTACTAAGAGGGCCTGATGAGCTGGTATTCCCAATTCCCAAATGTTATTATCAATGACAATCAACAGTATAATTACCACCCAGATCTTAGTCTCTAACACCACACTCCACTAAAAGCAATGAACAGTATAATTAGCGCCCAGATCTTAGTCTCTAACACCAAACACTCCACCAAAAGCAATCAACAGTATAATTACCGCCCAGATCTTAGTCTCTAAACACCATACTCCATTAAAAGTAACTAGGGGCCTCTGGAGAAACGGTTAATTCCACGTCAGGGGTAGACAAAGAACAAAGTGAGCTTAGAATATCTTGTTACAGAAAGAAAAGAAATATTCGGCCAGGACTGGTGGCTCATGCTTATAATCCCAGCACTTTGGGAGGCTGAGGCAGGAGGATCAGTTTAGGCCAGGAGTTTGAGACCAGCCTGGTCAATTTTTGTACTAAAAATACAAAAATTAGCTGGGTATGGTGGCGCATGCCTGTGATTCCAGCTGTGCAGGAGGCTGAGGCACAAGAATCTCTGGAACCGGGAGGTGGAGGTTGCAGAGAGCTGAGATCGCACCACTGCACTCCAGCCTGGGTGACAGAGTAAGACCCTGTCTCAAAAGAGGAAAAATGAAAAAAAAAGTTAATTTTACATAAATTGTATGGTATGTAAAATATATCTTGATAGTGCTATTACCAGGTCAGGCAAAGTGGCTCATGTCTGTAGTCCCAGCACTTTGGGAGGCTGAGGCAGGTGAATCACATGAACCCAGGAGTTCAAGACCAGCCTGAGTAGCATGGCAAAAGCCTGTCTCTACAAAAAATAAGAAAAATCAGCCAGGTGTGGTGGTGTGCACCTGTAGTCCCAGCTTCTCAGATGGCTGAGGTGGGAGAATCGCCTGAGCCTGGGAGTTCGTGGCTGCAGTGAGCGTGATCGCACCATTGTCTCTAGCCTGGGTGACAGAGCAAAACCCTGTCTCAAAAAAAAACAGAAAAGAAGAAAAGCAGTTACCAAAAAAAACGTTAATTTGATAAGTAACTAATGATAAGAGTTAAATTTCCAGTTCTAAAGGTCCGTTTAGCTCTTGCAGCTGAAATGGCACAGGAATGCTGATTCTGCATTTCTCAGGCTTACGCTGTCCTCCCTGACATCCATTTGTAGGGTGCAGAAGATTCATTCCATTGGATGCTCCTAAGTCACAGAATGGCTACATCTTTATAAGTCCTTAATAAGGTGATGTCATATAATATCAGATGTGCAAATAAGATAATTAAGGAAATAGTAGGCGAGGCATGGTGGCCGCCATCTATAATCCCAGTACTTTGGGAGGCCAAGGCAAGAGGATTGCTTGGGCCCCGAAGTTCTAATCTAGCCTGGGCAACATAGTGAGACCTCTTCTCTACAAAAAATCAAACACTTAGTCGGGTGTGTGGTGCACACTGTAGTCCCAGCTCCTCAGGAGGCTGAGGTGGGAAGGTCGCTTGAACCCAGGAGGTAGAGGATATAATGAGCCGTGACTGCAGCAGCACTCCAGCCTAGCTGACAGAGCAAGACCTTGTCTCAAAAAAAAGAAAAAGAAAAAGGAAAAAAAATTGTAGTTTGCCCTTTTTGGATTTCTAATTACAAAGGAAAAAACACTCTATTATTAATCAGCAACTGATTTATTCTTTTTCCTTTATTTTTTGGAGACAGGGTCTCGCTTTGTTGCCTAGGATGGTCTCGAATCCTGGGCTCAAGCAATCCTCCTGGCTCAGCCTCCCAAAGTGCTGGGATTACAGGCGTGAGCCACCACGTCCAGCCTGATTTACTAATTCTTATAACCCATGAGGTCCTCAGACCTTTTGAAATAAAATTGACATGTTTTCCATTACAAAGTAATATTTGCTCAAGAACAAAATTACCTATTTACCATTACTTCCTCAGAATATATGCCCAGAAGTAACATTACAGTAATTACATATATATTTTTAAGAGGCACTTTTTCTAAAGAAATGACAATATTTTCATAAAACATAAGCATCCAAACTAATATTTACATAAACAAGATACAGTATTGATCAGTAAATTAATGACATAAAATATGAAAATATAATTTAAAATACAAAACCATAAAAGAGATAAAATCACATAATATTTGGCACAACTAATAACAAACATAAGCTTACCTGATAGCATCCGCTTCCCCAGTCTGGGTAACTCAGCTTCCTCTCACACTTCTCCATAACGAATGCTGATTTCTGAATTAGACAAACGGAATGAGGTCCATACTTTTCAGCGCCATAGTTCTTAAAAATTTCTGAGGCAAAGAAGAAAAGTCTCCTTAAAAATTGACTTTTGGCTCAAAGAACAAGAAACTGAACCATTCCATTTTTATGATTAAAAGTTGCTTTAAAAATCAGACATGTTTCATGGAAATTTTAAATTTAAAAAATTAGGGTAGGCTGGGCACGGTGGCTCACGCCTGTAATCCCAGGGTTTTGTGAGGCTGAGGTGGGCAGATCACGAGGTCAGAAGATGGAGACCATCCTGGCTAACGTGGTGAAACCCCGTCTCTATTAAAAACACAAAAAATTAGCCGGGCGCGGTGGCGGGCGCCTGTAGTCCCAGCTACTCGGGAGGCTGAGGCAGGAGAATGGCGTGAACCCGGGAGGCGGAGCTTGCAGTGAGCCGAGATTGTACCACTGCACTCCAGCCTGGGCGACAGAGAGAGACTCCGTCTCAAAAAAAAAAAAAAAAAAAATTAGGATCCACAGGGTTCCAAACTCACACTAGGTTCTTAATAAAGGAATTAATGGGAGAAAATTACTGCATCAGACACAAGGGAATAAAACTGGGCCCAACGTTTTCTAGGTTAAATATATAGAAGAACTAGCACTAAGAATCGTTAGATCACTAGACACCAAGATAAAATCATCTTCACTGGTGGTCTAAATAGGAGGCACCTCCAAATTACTCATGATAGGATGAGGCCAAGTGATTTATATAATGCAGACTTTTGGGGGGTGTTGCAACATTTGAAAACTTTCTTATATCTTCAACTTGTGCCACCTCCTGGAAGTCCACAAATATTAGGCTGGTGCAGAAGTAATTGCGGTTTTCGCATTACTTTAACGGCAAAACCACAATTACTCTTCCACCAACCTAGTAAGATGCTGATCTAATCTCACAGTATGCACAAACCTGCAGAGGAATGAAAGGCCTCTAATGGACAAAGGGACAAAGCTCTTAAACCCGAGCAGTAATTTGCTCTCTTTAGACTCTTTACAATAAGTTGTCTTTGGGGAAGTAGAGAGTTCAATTAGCCCATTTTAAAATATTATAAAGATAAGTGTTTTATGCCAGTTTTGATAAATCTGAATTATATAAGCTAAAAAATGCAAATTAGAATAAAACAGAATTCTTTACTTCTTTTGAGTATCAGAGTCTTTCAAAACTATAGTGATCAGTGTCTAAAATGGGGTTCAGGGCTGGATGTGGTGGCTCAAGCCTATAATTTCAACACTTTGGGAGGCCAAGGAGGAAGGACCGCTTGAGGCCAGGAGTTTGAGGCCAGTCTGGGTAACATAGCAAGCCTCATCTCTACAAAAATTTTTAAAAATTAGTCAGGTGTGGAGGTGCATGCCTGTAGTCCTGGCTCTGGGGAGTCTGAGGCAGGAGAATCACTTGAGCCCAGGAGTTACAGGTTACAGTGAGCTATGATGGTGCCACTGCACTCCAACTTGGGTGACAGAGTGAGACCTTGTCTCTAAAAATAATAATAATAATAATAATAAAACAGAATTCAGCAAACTGCAACCCTCAGGCCAAATCCTGGCACATTCATTCACGTACATACTGTCTGTAACTGCTTTCAGACGGTAACGGCTGAGCTGAATCAGAAAGCTAGAGACCTTATGACCCACAAAGCCCCAGATATTTATAATTTTCCCCGTTAACAAAAAACGTTTGCCAGCTCCAGCTCTAAAACAATAACATGTGATAGTACATCTCTGGCAAATCCATAACTGACAGATCTGTGCATTTCTTTTGCTTTAATATGGAACTGCTGAGTGGTTATAAGTTGTTAGGATATTTATTTATTTATTATTTTTATGTGACATGGGGTCTCACTGTGTTGCCCAGGCTGGAGTGCAGGGGCATGATCTCGACTCACTGCAAACTCCGCCTCCTGGGCTGCTCAAGCAATCCTCTGGCTTCGTCCTCCTCCATAGCTGGGACCACAGGTGTGCACCATCACACCTGGCTAATTTTTTGGATTTTTGATACAGACAGGGTTTCACCATGTTGCTCAGCTGGCCTCAAACTTCTGAGCTCAAGCAATTCACCTGCCTTGGCCTCCCAAAGTGCTGCGATTACAGGCGTGAGCCACTGCGCCTGGCCAGGACATTTATTGAATAGATGAATGATGGGGAAAAATGACTGCAGGAATCCAGTTACATCTGCCAAGTTTAAGAGTAAAAGGTAAGAATACAAAAATTTAGAATGTAAATGCCTTAGTCTGTAATAAAGTATGGAATGGGGTGGGGGTTTGGAGACTAGGTTAAAACTTCTGATGAACACAGAGAGAAAAACTACTTACTGCTCTTTCTTACATCAGATGTGAGAACATTTCTGTTTACAAAGGTAATTAGTATGAGCTGTAACTATTATTGCAGAATACCCAATTGCCATACTGTTTATTCCTTTGATATCTTGTTCATTTATATGTATTAAGAAGAAACAAATAATATGGTGGTATATCTTACTGGCCATGAGACAAGAACATTGTTTTGCTATCTGAAGAGTGACATGTTGCTTCTATCTTACATAAAATGCACATTCCCCACAAGAGGAAAAAGCAGCTTATCTGAGGTATTTTAATAAAAAGAGGATGGCATTGGAGGATCTTGCACTGACACAAATTTAACTATATCACTTAGTATCTATCCGCCTATCTGGGAAATACAGTAATATCTTCCTTATGTTTCTCATCATGTTTTCAGAAGAATAAAATGTTAAGAATGAAAGTGCTTTGCAAATGGAAAGTGCCGTGCAGCTAGAAGGTATGACCAAAATATAGCGTGTGTGCATGCATACGCGAATAATCCCTTCGATGGGTCAGGCACAATTGTAAGCACTTACTACATTAATTCATTTAATTCTCACAACTCTCTAAGTATTGCCTCCATCGTACAGATGAAGAAACAGGCAGGGAAAAGTTAAGTCACTTCTTACATATGGATAGCAGCTGAACTATAAAGCAAATTCAGACAGTCCTGCTCTAGGGTCTGTGCCCTTAACCACGATTCTATATTGCTAATACATAATTTTAATATGTATATAATACTTCATTTCACTAGCCGACTAACCTGGTTGATTTTCCAATATTCTACAATCTGAGCTGCGCTGATATTCACCACTTAAATGCCAACTGAATTCCTGACTGAAAGGGCAGTAGTCAGCAATTTCCACGGAGCCACCATAATAAGGCAAATCTTCTGCAGGTATTCCACTGAGTTCATCAAAGTACTGCAGAAAAAATATTGGGAAGACAAGAAAGTAAGAAACATTCTGTATAAAATTGAGGAAGTGCACAGGCAATTTCTCGCAACCCTTTAATGCCACATAACACAAGATACTAATGTACCTTTCTTCATCAATGGCACCAAATAAAGAACACAGTAATAAACCACCAGAGGAGTAGTTAAAGGTTGCTACAGTTTTACAAATAAGCAAGGTAAGTAAATGAGTCTTAAGTTATATATCATAATGTTAAATTAGACTAATGTTTTAACAGCATGTAGTTTTAATTACACTGAGCAAAAAGAAGTTTTAAGAGCTGACAAAACACAGAACTAATGCATAAAGTTACAACATTTTAAATAAATTTTTCAAGAGTTTTTAGGAGGCAGTTTATACGTTGTTTTGACAAACTTGAAAAAATTAAAATCTGAGAAAATAAATGAGATCATATATATAATATACTTTGAATACCAAAGGTACAAGGCACCAGATAAATTTTATTGTTCCTTTTTTTTAAAATTAATTTTATGGCCGGGCATGGTGGATCACGCCTGTAATCCCAGCACTTTGGGAGGCTGAGGTGGGCGGATCACCTGAGGTCAGGAGTTCAAGACCAGCCCGGCCAACATATAGTGAAACCCCGTCTCTACTAAAAAAAAAAAAAAAAAAAAAAAAAAAAAAAATACAAAAATTAGCTGGGTGTGGTGGCGCACACCTGTAGTCCCAGCTACTTGAGAAGCTGCGGCAGGAGAATAGTTTGAACCTGGGAGGCAGAGGTTGAAGTGAGCCGAGATTGCACCACTGCACTCCAGCCTGGTGACACAGCAAGACTCCATCTCCAAAAATAAATAAATAAAAATAAAATAATTGTATGTGTTTTCACACCCCTGGATGCACCAGATAAATTTTTAAAGATGTCACGTTTTCCACCAACTTATTGAGTTATATCACTATGCCTATGAATATAGTTACTATTTTATGGTATCTGAAGCATTCAGTGAGCTCACAAATATGTGTAGGAAGCTTAAAATTCAGCAGCTTTATTTTAAATTAGCTTCTGAGACATCATTTCTGACAAAAGGTTCCTTTATAAATGGCAGGTAAAGTTGAGGCTTTTTAAAGATAGCTTTGGCAACAAGAAACTTAAAGGTCATGGCCAGGCATATGGTGGCTCACGCCTGTAATCCCAACACTTTGGGAGGCTGAGGCGGGCAGATCACATGAGGTCAGGAGTTTGAGACCAGCCTGGCCAACATGGTGAAGCCCTGTCTCTATTAGAAATACAAAAAGTAGCCAGACATGTTGGCTCACACCTGTAATCCCAGCGCTTTGGGAGGCCGAGGCAGATGGATCACTTGAGGCCAGGAGTTCAAGACCAGCTTGGGCAACATGGCGAAACCCCAACTCTACTAAAAATATGAAAATTAGCCAGGCATGGTGGCTTGCAGCTGTAAACCCAGCTACTCGGGAGGCTGAGGCACAAGAATCGCTTGAATCTGGTAAGGGGAGGCTGCAGTGAGCTGAGATCTCACCACTGCACTCCAGCCTGGGCGACAGAGTGAGACTCGGTCTCGGAAAAAAAGATAAAAGATAAAAAGAAACATAAAGGTCAAATCAGAGATCCAGACAAGATATGTGGGACCATTTCCTTAATCTTTCAGATCCCATGAATCAAATCTTTTCCAAAGCAGGGTTTCCAAGTCTTCTAATTAACTGGATTGGAGTACTTAAGTTATTTTCTTTAAAGATTTCTTTTTCTGTGTAAATTAGAGGAATTTAAATAGCAAGGCTTTGGAAACAATTAGAAAACATAAACAGGTAAAAACAGATCAAATATTCAAATTATTCTTGCCATTATTATAAGACACTGCTAGATTTTAACTAAGTGCTATCAATTAGGACATTAGTTTTAAAGAAATGGAAGCATTATTCCATTTTTTTCTAACTTACAGAAAACAAACAAGGCCTTATAAATTAAGAATCTTAAGAGAATTTACTCTTTTAGTTAAAATGGAGACTACTTTTGAAAAGCTGATTCCTGAAACTGTGCCCCAGCCCTGTTCTACCTGGTATTCCTGTGGTAAAGGCTTAGGGAACTTCTGCAAATTACACACGGCAACTGCTCTCTGGTCCTGTCTGCAAGTTAGCTGCAGTGGGTTACTTCTGAGCGTGTCACAGTAAGGGCTCAGCATCTGTCTCCTGCAAACAAAGAGAAGTACCATGGTATCAAACTTTAAAGAAAATACTGCAAGTCCATTATACAGCCAACAAATGGAATTCCAGATCCTGGCCTAAAAATACAAACCTTCATAATTAACAAATGGGATTCTTGGAAAGAGATGGAGGCAATGTCCCCTCTGCCCTGCAGCTACAAAGAGTGGAATTTTCTCTGCTCAATAATCTGACAGTTTGTTTAACTGACCACCTTCACCAGACAATCTTATTTTCCTGTGCAAAATAAAGATTGTGTGAATATTCCTAATTGTTATCAACTTGTTCTGTTCCATTAAATGTAATCTTGAAAGTATAATTTGAAAAAAGGGCATGTAAATTATCAAAAGATATCAGAATCTGTTGCACTGTCTTGCAAAAATAACCTTCAAACAAACCTGTAATTCTTAGCAGTCATCAAACTGACAGTTGACGATATAAAAATTATATTAATATCACAATAGCAGCTTCATAGATAAAATCTCAGTATTCCTAAATAATAGAAATCCTATTAATACTGGTCTAACAAATTGTAATCGAATTATTGACAATTTTCCTCTTCTTCCACATATTTCTTAAGGAAAAAAAAGCCTGTATTAAATATTTCTTATTTTAAGGAAAATTGATGACTTGTCTTATTTAAATGAACATGGTGTCTCAGCATACATCTTTAGGGAGTTACAGCTTCCTAAGATGAAACACGTAAAATACTTGCCACAGTCTTCAGCAAATGGGAAGCAGCACAGCCTAACAGGAAAGCAAAGGCTTTGAAGTCGTCACACAGGTCTGGGTTCAAACACCAGCACCAGCCACACTTCTGTGGAATTTACTTAACTTTCCTGAGCTTCAACCGCAAAGCACTCAGTGCCTGGCACATGCAGGCTACTCAATAAATGTGATTTCCGCTGTTTATACCATTTTCGTAAAATCTTCATATAAGGCAATATTTTAACTTCCCATGATAAAGCTTCCAATGAATATGGAAGCTCATGTTCCAATAGTTGTTAATCAGTTACTTTCTTGATACCATGAAAGTCATTTCTGTTTTTTGTCTAAAACCAAAAGGCATATTATATTTACTTTAAATTATATAAAATGAGTTTTGGCTAAATGAATAAAGAGGAAAAAAGAAGTTAAAACTTAGTGATTTTAAACATTCCAAAGTTAGAGCTGTCTAAGATTCATGGCTTACAAATTCCAGAGAAGCACTGTCAAGAGAGCGGGAAAAGGTGTACATCTGTGCTGCCCAATATGGTAGCCACTAATCATGTATGTCACTTCAAAGGTGGCTAGTTAACTGAGGAACTTATTTATTTATTTATTTTGAGACAGAGTCTTGCTCTGTCGCCAGGCTGGAGTGCAGTAGTGCGATCTCGGCTCACTGCAAGCTCCACCTCCCGGGTTCAAGCAATTCTCCTCCCTCAGCCTCCCAAGTAGCTCGGACTACAGGTGTGTCCCACTACACCCAGCTAATTTTTGTATTTTTAGTAGAGACCAGGTTTCATCATCTTGGCCAGGATGGTCTCAATCTCTGGACCTCGTGATCTGCCCACCTCTGCCTCCCAAAGTGCTGGGATTACGGTCATGGGCCACCATGCCTGGCCCTGAGGAACTAAATTTTAAATGGTATTTAACTTTAATTTAAATATAAGTTTAACTACATGTGGCTAATGGTACCATATTAGACAGTATAGCTCTAGAGCCAATATTAACACCAAATGAGCTAGGCAGAGGAGTTGGGCGATTTATCAGTTTTAGTTGCTTCGAACATAGAAAGAACCTTACTTTAAGTAGGTGTAGATTCAAGTGATTCAAAGAAGTATGGCTCTGCCTACGCTCACTCAACCAATCCCTTCTCACCCTGGTTTCCCAACAATGGAGAAGAGTCACAAATGACGAAGCCCAGAAGTGCTTGAGAACAGCCACACTGGAATCTCTAACATACATACAGGCAGACTGGGTCTGTGATGTCAGAAGATGGCTTCTATCCTGTAAATGATTCTGAATTTCAATGCCTCACAAGTGGGACATTTGAATGACTGTGACAGGGGTCAGCAAACTCAACTCTTGGGTCAAATCCTGACCACAACCTGTTTTTTTTTTCCTTGTCGATTTTTTGTTTTTGAGACAGGGTTTCGTTGCCCAGGCTGGAGTGCAGTGGCACAACCATTGCTCACTGCAGCCTTGATCTTCTCGGCTCAAGCAATCCTCCCACCTCAGCCTCCCAAGCAAGTGGGACTACAAGCATGTGCCACCATGCTCATTTACTTTCTGTAGAGATGGGGAAGATGACAGGAACATGGCCATGCCCATTTGTTTTGCCTCTTGCTGTATAAAAGTAGAGGTAAGTAGTTGTGACAGAGACTGTAATAACCCTCAAAACCTAAAATATTTACTATTTGGACTTCAAAAAAAAACCTTGCTGACAGTGGCTTAAGAATCAAAGGACAGGAGAGAATTCAGGGGACCCACAGTTTTAGTTTTTAAGAATAAAGAAGTAGAAGTCCCTTCTGTTTCTGGTCTTAGGTGATGTTATAATTGGGACCAAAAGGGGAATAAACAGAGTTGCAACTGTTAACAGAAAAGTGAACAAACAAAAACCTCCCTAAGCTCTTGCAGCTGCAGTGTGAGTTACATACTTCCTTTGACACACCGGAACAGTGGTTCCCAAACTCCATTACACATAAAATCACTTGGGAATTTATTAAAACAAACTCACACAATGCTAGTGCCCGGCTCTCAGCACAGTCATGACTTAATTAGTAACTGGGGTATGGAGAGTTTTTCCAGTTCTGTAGACGATTTTCATAAGCAGCAAAATTTGAGAACTGGCAGGTCAACCTGTAGTGCAGGGGTAACAAGCTGGGGACACCCAGAGTGGTTGCCGGTGCTTCCGGCTACTGCCTATTATCTTCACATTAGGGTTACAACTCAGAGGTCAGACTCCTTAGTAGAAACTACAAGTGATTTAAATTGCTTTATGACCTAACCTAGGTGAGAAAAGATGAGAATAGTATTTTCTTTTCCTTTTTTTTTTTTTTTTTTTGTTTTTGCAACAGGGTCTTGCTGTCACCCACACTGGAGTGCAGTGGCATGCTCACAGCTCACCACAGCTGTGACCTCCTGGGCTCAAGGGATCCTCTCACCACAGCCTCCAAGTAGCTGGGACTACAGGGCCACGCCACCATGCCAGCCTAATTTTTTTACTTTGTAGAGATGGGGTCATGTTGCCCAGTCTGGTCTCAAACTCCTGGGCTCAAGCCATCTTCCCTCTTCCCAAACTGCTGGGATTACAGGTATGAGCCACCACACCACACCCGGCCCACCAGGGGAATTTTTTTTTAAATATAACAATAGAAATATCAGTACCACTTCTAATTCCTGGAAGATGGACTAGATGTGCTTTTCTCTATTCCCCCTTCTAAGTACAACTAAAAACCCAGACACTGTAAATTAAAGAAACAAAAGAAGACTCTGAAGGGTGGAGAGAAGTCAGACTAGTTAGGGGACTCTGAAGGGTACAGAGAAGTCAGACTAGTTAGGGGACTCTGAAGGGTGGAGGGAAGTCAGACTAGTTAGGGGGCTCTGAAGGGTGGAGAGAAGTCAGACTAGTTAGGGGGCTCTGAAGGGTGGAGAGAAGTCAGACTAGTTAGGGGGCTCTGAAGGGTGGAGAGAAGTCAGACTAGTTAGGGGGCTCTGAAGAGTGGAGAGAAGTCAAACTACTTAGGGGGCTCTGAGGGGTGGAGAGAAGTCAGACTAGTTAGGGGACTCTGAAGGGTGGAGAGAAGTCAGACTAGTTAGGGGACTCTGAAGGGTGGAGAGAAGTCAGACTAGTTAGGGGGCTCTGAAGGGTGGAGAGAAGTCAGACTAGTTAGGGGGCTCTGAAGGGTGGAGAGAAGTCAGACTAGTTAGGGGGCTCTGAAGGGTGGAGAGAAGTCAGACTAGTTAGGGGGCTCTGAAGGGTGGAGAGAAGTCAGACTAGTTAGGGGGCTCTGAAGGGTGGAGAGAAGTCAGACTAGTTAGGAGGCTCTGAAAGGTACAGAGAAGTCAGACTAGTTAGGGGGCTCTGAAGGGTGGAGAGAAGTCAGACTAGTTAGGAGGCTCTGAAAGGTACAGAGAAGTCAGACTAGTTAGGGGACTCTGAAGGGTACAGAGAAGTCAGACTAGTTAGGAGGCTCTGAAGGGTGGAGAGAAGTCAGACTAGTTAGGGGGCTCTGAAGGGTGGAGAGAAGTCAGACTAGTTAGCGGGCTCTGAACGGTGGAGAGAAGTCAGACTAGTTAGGGGGCTCTGAAGGGTGGAGAGAAGTCAGACTACTTAGGGGGCTCTGATGGGTGGAGAGAAGTCAGACTAGGTAGGGGGCTCTGATGGGTGGAGAGAAGTCAGACTAGTTAGGGGGCTCTGAAGGGTGGAGAGAAGTCAGACTAGTTAGCGGGCTCTGAACGGTGGAGAGAAGTCAGACTAGTTAGGGGGCTCTGAAGGGTGGAGAGAAGTCAGACTAGTTAGGGGGCTCTGAAGAGTGGAGAGAAGTCAGACTAGTTAGGGGGCTCTGAAGGATACAGAGAAGTCAGACTAGTTAAGGGGACTCTGAAGGGTGGAGAGAAGTCAGACTAGTTAGGGGGCTCTGAAGGGTGGAGAGAAGTCAGACTAGTTAGGGGGCTCTGAAGGATACAGAGAAGTTAGACTAGTTAGGGGGCTCTGATGGGTGGAGAGAAGTCAGACTAGTTAGGGGGCTCTGAAGGGTGGAGAGAAGTCAGACTAGTTAGGGGGCTCTGAAGGGTGGAGAGAAGTCAGACTAGTTAGGGGGCTCTGAAGGGTGGAGAGAAGTCAGACTAGTTAGGGGGCTCTGAAGGATACAGAGAAGTTAGACTAGTTAGGGGGCTCTGATGGGTGGAGAGAAGTCAGACTAGTTAGGGGGCTCTGAAGGGTGGAGAGAAGTCAGACTAGTTAGGGGACTCTGAAGGGTGGAGAGAAGTCAGACTAGTTAGGGGGCTCTGAAGGATACAGAGAAGTCAGACTAGTTAAGGGGCTCTGAAGGGTACAGAGAAGTCAGACTAGTTAGGAGGCTCTGAAGGGTACAGAGAAGTCAGACTAGTTAGGGGACTCTGAAGGGTACAGAGAAGTCAGACTAGTTAGGGGACTCTGAAGGGTACAGAGAAGTCAGACTAGTTAGGAGGCTCTGAAGGGTACAGAGAAGTCAGACTAGTTAGAGGGCTCTAAAGGGTGGAGAGAAGTCAGACTAGTTAGGGGGCTCTAAAGGGTGGAGAGAAGTCAGACTAGTTAGGGGGCTCTGAGGGGTGGAGAGAAGTCAGACTAGTTAGGGGGCTCTGAAGGGTACAGAGAAGTCAGACTAGTTAGGGGGCTCTGAAGGGTACAGAGAAGTCAGACTAGTTAAGGGGCTCTGAAGGGTACAGAGAAGTCCGACTAGTTAGGAGGCTCTGAAGGGTGGAGAGAAGTCAGACTAGTTAGGGGGCTCTGAAGGGTGGAGAGAAGTCAGACTAGTTAGGGGACTCTGAAGGGTGGAGAGAAGTCAGACTAGTTAGGGGGCTCTGAAGGGTGGAGAGAAGTCAGACTAGTTAGGGGGCTCTGAAGGGTGGAGAGAAGTCAGACTAGTTAGGAGGCTCTGAAGGGTACAGAGAAGTCAGACTAGTTAAGGGGCTCTGAAGGGTACAGAGAAGTCAGACTAGTTAGGAGGCTTTGAAGGGTACAGAGAAGTCAGACTAGTTAGGAGGCTCTGAAGGGTGGAGAGAAGTCAGACTAGTTAGGGGGCTCTGATGGGTGGAGAGAAGTCAGACTAGTTAGGGGGCTCTGAAGGGTGGAGAGAAGTCAGACTAGTTAGGGGGCTCTAAAGGGTGGAGAGAAGTCAGACTAGTTAGGGGGCTCTGAGGGGTGGAGAGAAGTCAGACTAGTTGGGGGGCTCTGAAGGGTGGAGAGAAGTCAGACTAGTTAGGGGGCTCTGAAGGGTACAGAGAAGTCAGACTAGTTAGGGGACTCTGAAGGGTACAGAGAAGTCAGACTAGTTAAGGGGCTCTGAAGGGTACAGAGAAGTCAGACTAGTTAGGGGGCTCTAAAGGGTGGAGAGAAGTCAGACTAGTTAGGGGGCTCTGAGGGGTGGAGAGAAGTCAGACTAGTTAGGGGGCTCTGAAGGGTGGAGAGAAGTCAGACTAGTTAGGGGGCTCTGAAGGGTACAGAGAAGTCAGACTAGTTAGGGGACTCTGAAGGGTACAGAGAAGTCAGACTAGTTAGGGGACTCTGAAGGGTACAGAGAAGTCAGACTAGTTAGGGGGCTCTGAAGGGTACAGAGAAGTCAGACTAGTTAGGGGACTCTGAAGGGTACAGAGAAGTCAGACTAGTTAGGGGACTCTGAAGGGTACAGAGAAGTCAGACTAGTTAGGGGACTCTGAAGGGTGGAGAGAAGTCAGACTAGTTAGGGGGCTCTGAAGGGTACAGAGAAGTCAGACTAGTTAGGAGGCTCTGAAAGGTACAGAGAAGTCAGACTAGTTAGGGGGCTCTGAAGGGTACAGAGAAGGCAGACTAGTTAGGGGACTCTGAAGGGTACAGAGAAGTCAGACTAGTTAGGGGACTCTGAAGGGTGGAGAGAAGTCAGACTAGTTAGGGGACTCTGAAGGGTGGAGAGAAGTCAGACTCGTTAGGAGGCTCTGAACGGTACAGAGAAGTCAGACTAGTTAGGGGGCTCTGAAGGGTGGAGAGAAGTCAGACTAGTTAGGGACTTCAGGACTCAAAGACTGATATGGTGGTGAATTCTCTCAACAACTGATAGACCAACTAGGCAGGAAATTAGCAAGGATATAGAAGAACCCAACATCATCAACCAACAGGACTTAACTGACATTTGTGCAACGCTTCACCCAGCGTCCGAATGTACACGGTGGCTCCCGCCTGTAATCCCAACACATTGGGAAGCCAGGGCGGGCAGATCAGCTGAGGTCAGCAGTTCAAGACCAGCCTGGTCAACAGAATGAAACCCCGTCTCTACTACAAATAAAAAAATTAGCCGGGCATGGTGGTGGGCGCCTGTAGTCCCAGCTACCTGGAAGGCTGGGGCAGGAGAAGAGCTTGAACTCGGCACCAGAGGCTGCAGTGAGCCGAGATTGCACCACTGCACTCCAGCCTGGGTGGCAGAGTGAAACTCCGTCTCAAAAAAATTTAAAAAATAAAAAAAACACTTTTTGATGGGGTTGTTTGTTTTTTTCTTGTAAATTTGTTTGAGTTCATTGTAGATTCTCGATATTAGCCCTTTGTCAGATGAGTAGATTGCAAAAATTTTCTCCCATTCTGTAGGTTGCCTGTTCACTCTGATGGTAGTTTCTTTTTCTGTGCAGAAGCTCTTTAGTTTAATTAGATCCCATTTGTCAATTTTGGCTTTTGTTGCCATTGCTTTTGGTGTACCATCTCACACCAGTTAGAATGGCGATCATTAAAAAGTCAGGAAACAACAGGTGCTGGAGAGGATGTGGAGAAATAGGAACACTTTTACATTGTTGGTGGGACTGTAAACTAGTTCAACCATTGTGGAAGTCAGTGTGGCGATTCCTCAGGGATCTAGAACTAGAAATACCATTTGACCCAGCCATCCCATTACTGGGTATATACCCAAAGGACTATAAATCATGCTGCTATAAAGACACATGCACACGTATGTTTATTGCGGCACTATTCACAATAGCAAAGACTTGGAACCAACCCAAATGTCCAACAATGATAGACTGGATTAAGAAAATGTGGCACATATACACCATGGAATACTATGCAGCCATAAAAAAGGATGAGTTCATGTCCTTTGTAGGGACATGGATGAAGCTGGAAACCATCATTCTCAGCAAACTATCACAAGGACAAAAAAACAAACACCGCATGTTCTCACTCATAGGTGGGAATTGAACAATGAGAACACATGGACACAGGAAGGGGAACATCACACACCAGGACCTGTTGTGGGGTGGGGGGAGTGAGGAGGGATAGCATTAGGAGATATACCTAATACTAAATGACAAGTTAATGGGTGCAGCACACCAACATGGCACATGTATACATATGTAACAAACCTGCACGTTGTGCACATGTACCCTAAAACTTAAAGTATAATAATAAAAAAAAATAAAAAACTTATATCAAGATAAGACCATATCTTGGGCCATAAAACAAACCTGAACAAATTTAAAAGAACTCAAATCATACAGCATATATTCTCCAAATACAATTCAACAACAAAAAATAACAGAAAAATTTCCAAATATTTGTATACTAAACAACACACTTCTAAATAATCGATGGGTCAAAGAAGAATCTCAAAGAAAAATTTTTAAAAATACATTGAACTGAATGAAAATAAAAATATAACATATTGGAATTTGTGAGATAAAGCTAAAGAAATGCTAAGAGGAAAATTTATAGCAACAAATAGCTACATTAGAAACAGGAAATATCTCAAATCAATAATCTCAAAAATCAAGATTAAGAAGAGAAAAATAGGCCAGGCACAGTGGCTCACGACTATAATCCCAGCACTTTGGGAGGCCGAGGTGGGCCGATTGCTAGAGCCCAGGAGTTCAAGACTAGCCTGAGCAATACAGTGAAACCCTGTCTCTACAAAAATACAAAAATTTAGCTGGGTGTGGGGGTGTGTGCCTGTAGTCCCAGCTACTTGAAAGGCTGAGGAGAAAGGTTTGCTTGAGCCCAGGAGGTCAAGGCTGCAGTGAGCCTCATGATCGCACCCATTGTACTCAAGCCTGGGCAACAGACCTTGTCTTTAAAAATAAAACAAAACAGAAAACGCTGGGCGTGGTGACTCACACCTGTCATCCCAGCACTTTGGGAGGCCAAGGCATGCAGATCACTTGAGGTCAGGAGTTCAAGACCAGCCTGGCCAACATGGTGAAATCCCTACTAAAAAATACAAAATTAGCGGGGTGTGGTGGTGTGCACCTGTAGTCCCAGCTACTTGGGAGGCTGAGTCGGGAGAATTGTTTGAACCCGGGAGGCGGAGGCTGCAGTGAGCCAAGACTGTGCCACTGCACTCCAGCCTGGGCGACAGAGTGAGACTCCATCTCAAAAAATAATCATCATCATAATAATTAAATAAATAAACCAAAAACAAGCAGTGGGAAAGATATAGCAGGGAGCAGAAATCAATGAATTTGAAAACAAAAAAACAATAGAAGACATCAACAATACAAAAAGCTGGTTCTTTAAGATCAGTAAAATTGGCAAACCTCTAGAAAAAGATAAAGAGAACATGCAAAATTACCAATATCAGGACTGAAAAGAGATATCACAACAGACCCCATAGGATGGATATCCCATCCTCCATGATGAGATTATTTCACAGTGTATGCCTATATCAAAATATCTCATTTACCCCATTAATATATACACCTAGTATGTACCAACAAAAATTACAAATTAAAACAGACCCTACAGATGTCAAAAGAATAATAATGGAATACTACAAAAAACCCTATACACATAAACTTGATAACTTAGACAAAATGAACCAATTCCTTAAAAAACATGTTACCACAATTCATGCACTATGAAACAGATGATAAGAATAGCCCTGTAACTACTAAAGAAGTTTAATTCACAATAATTCACAATTTTAAGACTTCCAAAAGAGAAATCTCCAGGCCCAGATGTTTCACTGGAGAATGCTACCAAACACTTAGAGAAGAATTAACACCAATTTTATACAATCTCTTCCAGAAAAATAGAAGAGGAGGAAAAACTTCCTAGTTCATTTTATAAAGCTAGTATTACTCTGATACAGAAACTAGACAAAGATGGTACAAAAAAGAACTTTTTTCTTTTCAAAGAAAATGATCAGAGATAAAGAGAGGAATTACAAAATGATAAAGGAATCAGTACTCTATGAAAATATAACAATCCTAAACATGTGTGCACCTAACTATAAAGTGTCAAAATATGTAAGTCAAAATGGATAGAACTGCAAGATGAAATAGATGAATCCATTATTATCACTGCAGATTTGAATATCCATTTCTCAGAAATGGACAGATGCAGCAGGCAGAAAATCAGTAAGGACACAGTTGAGTTCAACAGCACCATTAACAAACTGGATATAGCAGACTCTACAGACTACTTCAACCAAAAACAGCAGACAACAGATTTTTTTCAAGCTTACATGGTGCATTCACCAAGACAGACCACATTCTGGGCCATGAAACACACCTTAACAAATGTAAAAGAGAAATCATACCATGTTCTGCTCTCTTGCAACAATGGAATTAAACTAGAAATCAGTAACAGAAAGATAGCTGGAACATCTCAAAATAGCTGGAAATTAAACAAAGCACTTCTAAATTATACAGTGGTCAAAGAAGAAATCTCAAGAGAAAGTTAAAAATATTTTGAACTCAAAGTGACACAAGAGTTTTGAATTAAAAGAGAAAAATATTTTGAACTGAATCAAAATAAAAATAAAGCATGATAAACACCTCATCATATACTGGGATTTATTCTTCAGAGTATTATATAAATCATTTATTTATGTAGAGATGCCCAGGATGGAGTGCAGTGGTGCAGTCATAGCTCACTGCAGCCTTGAGCTTCTGGGCTCAAGTGATCCTCCTGCTTCAGCCTTCTGAGTAGCTGGGACTACAGGCATGGGCCACCATGCCCACCTCATTTTTGTATTTTGTTGTAGAGATGGGCTTTCGCCATGTTGTCCAGGCTAGTCTTGAACTCCTGGGCTCAAGCAATCAGCCTGCCTCAGCCTCCCAAAGTGCTAGGATTACAAGTGTAAGCCACCATGTCTGGCCATAAATAATAATTTAAATCAAGTCAATATTAAGTATGACAGGAGAGCCCATTATTTGCTCATTTAGTAATAATTATTATGTATTTCATAAATTTTCTTCTTACTATTATTTTTTAAATCTCTCTTACTGGAAGGATATACCTGTTTTTCAAAATGTGTCAGATTTGAAAAAGATCAAGTTTAACTGACATAATATAATTGTTCTGAGAGCCATACTGATTAATTAAAGGTAAAATAATTGGGGAAAAAAGAGAAAACTCCAGATCTATATTCGTCACAAATATAGAAACAAAAATCCACAACAAAATAATAGTACATAGAATTCAGCAACATACAGAAATAATTATAAGCCATCACCAAGTGGGGTTTACTCCAGGAATGCAAGGGTGATTTAATATTTGAAAATCAACCAATGAAGTCCACCATATTAACAGGCGAAAAAAATCACTTGATTATGCATAGCAACTAAAGTAGAAAGAGCATTTGACAGAAGGCAATATCCATTCATGATTAAAGCTCTCAGAAACACAGGAATAGACAGCTACTTTCTCAACTTGATAAAGAACATGTATAAAAAATCTGCAGCTAACATTATATTTAATAATGAAAGACTGAATGTTTTCTCCCATGTTTATGGATTGGAAAACTCAACACAGTAAAAATGTCAATTCTCCTCAAACTGACACACAGGGTTAATGCAGCTCCTAGCAAAATCCCTGCAAGTCTTTTGGCAGATACAGACGAGATAATTGTAAAACGTAGATGGAAATGCAAAGGAACCAAAACAGCCAGAACAATTTTAAAATAGTGGAAAGAATCAGTCTACCCAATTTCAAGACTTATTAAATAATTACAGTAATTAAGGACTGTGTGTTATTGGTGAAGGCATGGACACATGGATCACTAGAACAGAACGGAAAACACAGAAACAGATAGAAACAGATCACCACAAATACACCCAACTGATGGTTTCTGCCAAAGGCACAAAAGCAATTCCATGAAGGAAAGATAGCCTTTTCAACAAATGGTGCTAAAGCCATTGCCTATCTGTACACAAAGAAACAAACCTTGATCTAAGTCTCCCACCTTATACAAAACTTAACTCAAATGAATCATGGACTTAAATGTAAAGTGTAAACTACAAAACTTTTGAAAAAAACATAAGAAAACTTTCAAGATCTAGAGCTTGGCAAACACTTCTTAGACTTGACATCAAAGACACAGTAAGAGGACAAACTGATATTCTGGACTCCGTCAAAACTAAAAACATTTGCCCTACAAAAGCCCCTGTTAAAAGGACAAAAAGACAAGCTATGTACTGGGAGAAAATATTTGCAAACCACATATCTGACAAAGGACTACTACTACCCAAAATACCCAAAATACATGAAGAACTCTCAAAACTCAACAGTAAAAAACAATCCAATTAAAAAATTGGCTTAAGAGTGGCTCACGCCTATAATCCCAGCACTTTGGGAGGCTGAGGCAGGTGGATCACGAGGTCAGGAGTTCGAGACCAGCCTGGCCAACATGGTAAAACCCCATCTCTACTAAAAATTCAAAAATTAGCCAGACATAGTGGTACGTGCCTGTAGTCCCAGCTACTCTGGAGGCTGAGGCAAAAGAATTGCTTGAACCTGGGAGGCAGAGGTTACAGTGAGCCAAGATCGCGCCACTGCACTCCAGCCTGGGTGACGGAGCAAAACTCCATCTCAGAAAAAAAAAAAGACAAAGAGACAATTTGCCAAAGAGGATATATTATCAGTGAGTAAGCACATGAAAAGAGGTTCAACATCATTAGCCGTTAGGGAAACACAAATTAAAACCAAAATAAAATATCACTACGCTCCTATCAGAATCGATTAAACAAAAAATTGTGACAACGCCAAATGCTGGCAAAGATGTGGAGAAACTATATCACTTACACGTCACTGTCAGGAATTAAAAAGTTTGGCATTTTCTTACAAAACTAAACCTGTAATTACTTAATGAGCCAGTAACTGCATTCCTGGCACTTTTTCTGGAGAAATAAAGATATATGTTCACACACAAACCTGTACATAAATGTTCACAGCAACTTCATTCATAATAGCCCAAAACTGGAAACAATCCAGATGTCCTTCAAAGTGTGAATGTTTAAACAAACTGTGGTGTATCATACTGCGGAATATTAACCAGCCATGAAAAGTGAAATTATTGATACATACAACAACCTGGATGAATTTCCAGAGAATTATGCTGAGTAAAAAAAGCCACGCTCAAAAGTTCACATACAATATGAATTCATTCATGTAACATTTTTGTTGTTGCTGTTGCTTTCTCTTTTTTGAGACAGAGCCTCACTCTGTCACCCAGGCTGGAATACAGTGGTGCGATCTTGGCTCACTGCAACCCCTGCCTCCTGGATTCAAGCTGTTTCCTTGCCTCAGCCTCCTGAGTAGCTAGGGTTACAGGCGCCCACCACCACGCCTGGCTAATTTTTATATTTTTAGTAGAGATGGGGTTTCACTATGTTGGCCAGGCTGGTCTTGAACTCCTGACCTCAAGTGACCCACCCGCCTCGGCCTCCCAAAGTGCTGGGATTACAGGTGTGAGCCAGCCTGGCCAACAAGGAAAAATCCCATCTCTATTAAAATTACAAAATTAGCCGGGAGTGGTGGCGCACGCCTATAATCACAGCTATTCAGGAGGCTGAGGCATGAGAATTGCTTGAACCTAGTAGGTAGAGGTTGCAGTGAGCTGAGACTGCGCCACTGCACTCCAGCCTGGGCAACAGAGTGAGACTCTGTCTCAAAAAAAAAAAAAAGAAAAAGAAAAAGAAAAGAAAAATTCAGGGAAAAAATGATGGTTGCATCTGTACTGAACATGGGCACTTTTCTTCTTTGTCATTTTTCCCTAAACAATATAGTATAACAACTATTTCCATAGCATTTATATTGTATTATGTATTATAAATAACCCAGAAGTAATTTAAAGTATACAGGAGGATATACATAGGTTATATGCAAATACTATTCCATTTTATATAAGAAACTTTTACATAAGCATCTATGGATTTTGTTATCCAGGGGGGTCCTGGAAGCAATCCTCCATGGTTAAAGAACAACTGTATATATACATGTATGATATGTATCTGTATAGATGATATATAGATAGATGTCAAACTTACTACGTATGATATGTATCTGTATAGATGATATATAGATAGATGTCAAACTTACTACGTATGATATGTATCTGTATAGATGATATATAGATAGATGTCAAACTTACTACGTATGATATGTATCTGTATAGATGATATATAGATAGATGTCAAACTTACTACGTATGATATGTATCTGTATAGATGATATATAGATAGATGTCAAACTTACTACGTATGATATGTATCTGTATAGATGATATATAGATAGATGGCAAACTTACTACGTATGATATGTATCTGTATAGATGATATATAGATAGATGTCAAACTTACTACGTATGATATGTATCTGTATAGATGATATATAGATAGATGTCAAACTTACTACGTATGATATGTATCTGTATAGATGATATATAGATAGATGTCAAACTTACTACGTATGATATGTATCTGTATAGATGATATATAGATAGATGTCAAACTTACTACGTATGATATGTATCTGTATAGATGATATATAGATAGATGTCAAACTTACTACGTATGATATGTATCTGTATAGATGATATATAGATAGATGTCAAACTTACTACGTATGATATGTATCTGTATAGATGATATATAGATAGATGTCAAACTTACTACGTATGATATGTATCTGTATAGATGATATATAGATAGATGTCAAACTTACTACGTATGATATGTATCTGTATAGATGATATATAGATGTCAAACTTACTACGTATGATATGTATCTGTATAGATGATATATAGATAGATGGCAAACTTACTACGTATGATATGTATCTGTATAGATGATATATAGATAGATGGCAAACTTACTACGTATGATATGTATCTGTATAGATGATATATAGATAGATGGCAAACTTACTACGTATGATATGTATCTGTATAGATGATATATAGATAGATGGCAAACTTACTACGTATGATATGTATCTGTATAGATGATATATAGATAGATGGCAAACTTACTACGTATGATATGTATCTGTATAGATGATATATAGATAGATGGCAAACTTACTACGTATGATATGTATCTGTATAGATGATATATAGATAGATGGCAAACTTACTACGTATGATATGTATCTGTATAGATGATATATAGATAGATGGCAAACTTACTACGTATGATATGTATCTGTATAGATGATATATAGATAGATGGCAAACTTACTACGTATGATATGTATCTGTATAGATGATATATAGATAGATGTCAAACTTACTACGTATGATATGTATCTGTATAGATGATATATAGATAGATGGCAAACTTACTACGTATGATATGTATCTGTATAGATGATATATAGATAGATGGCAAACTTACTACGTATGATATGTATCTGTATAGATGATATATAGATAGATGGCAAACTTACTACGTATGATATGTATCTGTATAGATGATATATAGATAGATGGCAAACTTACTACGTATGATATGTATCTGTATAGATGATATATAGATAGATGGCAAACTTACTACGTATGATATGTATCTGTATAGATGATATATAGATAGATGTCAAACTTACTACGTATGATATGTATCTGTATAGATGATATATAGATAGATGTCAAACTTACTACGTATGATATGTATCTGTATAGATGATATATAGATAATGTCAAACTTACTATGTATGATATGTATCTGTATAGATGATATATAGATAGATATCAAACTTACTCTGTATTTTTTAAAAGCTTGCTAGGTGATTATAATATGCATCTGGATTTGGAAACCCCTATTCAAAAGTGCCTTTTTTTTGATACTGAATCAATATTTGCATCTATGTTTACAGGTGCATTCTCTGAAGAAAACACCACAAATGACAGAGGAAACAAAAGGTTTGTAAAATATATATATTTATGAGTTCTAATAAGCTGAATAGAAATGTTCATGGCTGTGGGCCCTTCACTGTGGATTCCTTTAGTATATGATTAAAAACTACTTACAGCTAACTTCTCACTATATTATTACCAACCATCTATAGATGGTTTTCTATATATTTTAAAATTGAACTGCTCAGACTACATTTTGAAAATAGCATTTTAGGCTCAGGATAAAGAATAAAGTCAGAAAGGAACTGTGTAATCAGTGACACTGTGAGGAAATGCATTCTTACTTTTGTCTCTGCTGATCAATCCAGAATTTACAGCTCTTCCTGACAAAGTCACAGCCCATTCCTCGGCCCCAGTCTAACTTCTCAGCCATGCTGTAATTTGCTTTATACCAGCTGTGGAATAATTCAAACAAAGCAATTTTTACTGCTGTCCTTTCAAAAACAACTCTAGCATAACAATTGAGAATCTCAACAATGAGCACATTAGGACCTTAAGAAAGATTTTGGAGGCCAGAGGCCATCACTGTAAGTGATCACTCACAACGTTCTTGCCGCACAGGGACTGCTACACAGGGATTCCATAACCAGGCTTATGATGGAGGTATTAAATACTTTTATACTTTGACATAAGTATAAAATTTCTATTGTAATTTTCACTTTATTTTATTTTGAGACAGGGTCTTGCTCTGTCACCCAGGCTGGAGTGCAGTGGCACGATCCCAGCTCACTACAAGCTCTGCCTCATGGGTTCAAGTGATTCTCCTTCCTCAGCCTCCCAACTAGCTGGGACTACAGGCATGCACCACCATGTCTGACTAATTTTTGCATTTTTAGTAGAGACGGGGTTTCACTATGTTTGCCACACTGGTCTCAAACTCCTGATCTCAGGTGATCCACCCGCCTTGGCCTGCCAAAGTGCTGGGATTGCAGGTATGAGCCACTGTGCCCAGCCTATGTCCATTAGTTTTTAAATGTCCTAGCTGGGCGCAGTGACTCACATTTGTAACCCCAGCACTCTGGGAGGCTGAGGCGGTTGACCATTTGAGGTTGGGAGTTCGAGACCAGCCTGGCCAACATGGTGAGACCCTGTCTCTACTAAAAATACAAAAAGTTAGCCAGGTGTGCAGTGGTGTGTACTTATAGTCTCAGTTACCTGAGAGGCTGAAGTGGCAGGATCACCTCAGCCCAGGATCATGCCACTGCACTCCAGCCTGGGAAATAGAGTGAGACCTTGTCTCAAAAAAAAAAGTTCTAGTAAGAGAAAAAAGAAAGCACTGATGGAGTTTCCAGACAAATTTAATTGAAAGCAATCAATTTGTTTTAGTTTTTATTTATTTTTAGAGACAAGATTTGCTTGCAAAAGTTATAAAATTATACAAAATAGTCTCTTACCTGTGTGTATTATATTTTGTTCCTTTAGCATTATCAAAACAGTAAATAAAAACATAGGCTCAGGGCTGGGCGCAGTGGCTCACGCCTGAAATCTCAGTACTTAGTGAGGCCAAGGTGGGTGGATCACTTTAGCTCAGGAGTTTGAGACCAGCCTGGGCAACGTGGCGAAACCCCATCTCTATAATAAAAAATAATAATATTGAAAAAAATAGGCTTGAAAGTTGGGGAGATAAGAATTATCCCCTCCACTTGTACCACCTTGCTACAAAATCAAACAAATGTGTAATGTAGCATCTTCCAAAACTTCTCTCCTGTCAACGAACAAAACTCTCACTCAGACAGAAACTGAAGGAGTCGCGGTGCTCCAATGCCAAAATGCCTGCAACTTCTGCAACTACAATGTGAGTTACGTTACTAGCTAACTTGGTATCGCAGCAAGGTCAAACTGTCCAGATAGTGACAGGTGCCCCTAATGTTGTGCACTAGCAATTATTTTAGCAGTGCTCAGGTTCAGAAGCCCTTAGCCCTATGAATAAAATGTGGAGTAAGTAGACTCCTTTGTGAAGGTACATGTCGATGAGCGCAGAATATCTTATCAGCGCTGTTATTCCATCCTCAGGTGGGCACTCCAGCTACACATCATGAGACCTTCCTGATAACCGTTTCTTTGCAGCTCTTTCTGTATTAGCAGTCAACAGTTCCTAAGCATTTGTCGCATGGTAGGCACTTTGTTAAATGAAGGCTACAGTAGTAAATCAATAAACAGAACCTGCTCTCATGAAGATCATAATCTAGTAGGGAAGACAGATACTAAAACAAAACATTTGAAGTGTGATGAATATTCCAAAGGAGAAGTATATGATGCTAACAGGAACACAGTAACAGAAACACCTACATTAGTCTGAAGAATTCGGGAAGGTTTTTCTGAGGAAGCAACTTTAGCTCAACTCAGAAGGATGAGCACTAGTGAGGGAGTAGAGGGGGCATTAGAAACAGAGAGTTTCTGAGTATTAGTGAGTTGTCAAACCAACGTAGTGGATCTTGATTAACATTTCTTTCTCTCTCTTTAAAAACTAAAAACTAAAAATAAAAAAAAATAATAAAAATAAAAACTCAATACAATAAAGGACTGCACTGTAGGTGGTCAGGGTAAGTATTGTTTCATGAAGCCTTAGCTCAGGTTTTTATATGATGCTCATACTTAGTTGGCACTCACAGTGTGCCAAGCGCTGTACTAAGAGCTTTACAGATATTTACTCATTTAAGTCTCATAAAACTCGATGAGATATGCTGGGCACGGTGGCTCACGCCTGTAATCCCAGCACTTTGGGAGGCCGAGGTGGGCAGACCACCTGAGGTCACGAGTTCCAGACCAGCCTGGCCGACATGGCGAAACCCCATCTACACTAAAAATACAAAAATTAGCTGGGTGTGGTGATGCACGCCTGTAGTCCCAGCTACTCAGGAGGCTGAGGCAGGAGAGTCGCTTGACCCTGAGAGGTGGAGGTTGCAGTGAGCCAAGATCACACCACTGCACTCCAGCCTGGGTGACAGAGCAACACTCCGTCTCAAAAAAAGAAAGAATAACCTCTATATGTTTAAATGCTTTTACCTCTTTCACCTCTCAACAGTGAAGGTAGTGTCAACAATTTTCATGGTTTTAATAGCACCTCTACCATTAATTTTCAAATTTGATTCAATTTTCTAATTTTCTCTCAGACTGTCTTAGAAAGAGTAAGAGGTAACAACGCTTCCACTAAAGCAGCTTTCATTTTTTTTATATGTAGGGGTTGTATAAAAGATTTCATTTAAAAGCAGTATTTCTGCCAGGCGTGGTGGCTCATGCCTGTAATCCCAGCACTTTGGGAGGCCAAGGCAGGAGGCTTGCTTGAGCCCAGGCGTTTGGGACCAGCCTGGGCAATAGAGTGAGACCTTGTCTCTACTTAAAAAAATAAACAAAACAGTATTTCATGGCTTTACCTGAAAGTTCCATTGTTTTATAAAAAACCAGTCATTTAAAAATTGTTTAGTCTTTCCTTCATAATTTAAACATTGTTTAGTCTTTCCTTTATAATTTAAAAATTGTTTACTCTTTCCTTCATATGGGCTCAGCCCCTGCTTATTCGAAAACAAATCATATCAGGGGTATGTCCTAATTATTACTATGTCTCGGGGCCTCAAATATTTGTTGAGGCCAGGTGAGGTGGCTCAGGCCTGTAATCCCAGCACTTTGGGAGGCCAAGGTGGGTGGATCATTTGAGCCCAGAAGTTTGTGAACCTGGGTAACATGACAAAACCCCGACTCTATTAAAAATACACAGTTAGCCAGGCATGGTGGCACGTGCCTGTAGTCCCAGCCACGCAGGAAGCTGAGGTGAGAGGACTGCTTGAGCCCGGGAAGTCCAGGATTAGTGAGTCCAGATTGCCACTGCACTCCAGCCTGCGCAGAAGGAGTGAGACCCTATTTTAAAACCAACAACAAAAGTATTTATTGAATGAACGAATGAATGAATGGAGTTGGTATGAATAACGGACAGCTAACTGTACAAGATTCAAATAATTAATAAGTATATTTTGCTTCAGCATAAAATGTCAGCATTTTCTTAAGCTATAAGCTCAGTATTAATTTCATTTTCATAAGCAATTCATATCCTCTTGTCACAGCTGTCTTACCCAGTGTCCTCCATTAATGCCAGAGTGATTCGAGAGAGTACTCGATTCTGAGTGTGAGAACCAGTCATCGCTTCATTCTGAAAATCACCAACAGGGTTTAATTAGACTAGATTCTCTGCAACTCCTAATATTTTCTGCAATTCCTCTGATATACATATTTAAAATGTTTCAACTGTGAGAGGCTGACAAGACATTCACTTAAAAGTGGTGAAATACATAAACCTTTAAGATGACTAGACTGAACCTTGAAGTGAAATCTATTTTCTGCCCTAAGTGCTTCCATTGTGTTCAATTCCCTTGGAATGGCAGGCAGCTGGCATTTAGAACTCTGTGATGAATGAAGATAAATCTATATGGAAACAGAAATGCTACAGAAATATTATACTCTCCAGGTAAAGCAAAGTGGGTGATTGAGGCAAATGCACAGATAATTTGGGGTCAGGGAGAATAGCTGTCTGAATTACACTGAAAATGTTTTCCTCACCTTCAACTCTGTGATCACAGAAACATGTGTAACATGCAAAACAAGTGGGACAGAATCATGGGGTAAAAGGACTTCCTTGAAAGGTCTAAAATATCATCATGCTCTACCATCTACCCAATATTTTAATTCACACCATACAATTCCTATCAGGAGGTCACCTAATGATGAGGACTTCACTGCCTCTTACAGAGCTTATTTCATCTTTGGACAGTTCTGAGTGTTCTTTAAATCTTTCCATTGAACACCAGATGGCCATCTCAAGTACTGTGATACCACGCTTTAAAAAAAAAATAGTTCAAGGACACAAAGTTGATTTGAGAGAAGTTAATGAAATTACTACTGTCAGCGCTTCTGCTGAAAAGCACAAACATTTTCATTTCTGGCCAATGTACAGCTTTCTAAAGGGAGTCACTTAAGAAAATTTCTTAAGGAAAAAAAAACCACACTTCCCATGGGAGGAATAAATGTACGTCCCTTCCGTAAGTTTCCATCATTGTTACTTTGTGGTCACCTAGACAAGAACAGTAATCACAAGCACTAATTTCATTCTTTCCAGAATTGTATTAACTTTAGGCATGATGTATATGAGCTGCAACTATCTATTTAAGCAGATCTCTAAAAATAAAAAGATACTGGTTCCTATTTGGGACATGATCTTTCTAAGCCAGGCTGGTCCTCCCATCTGTCTATTGTGGTCTTGTGCTCTGGTACTTGAGCTGCATGGGGAGGGAGAGAGGCACAGATGACAGCCCTTCCACTGCTATGTGGAGCCCAAGAGGAATGCCTGGCTCTACTGCGCTGGCACGCTGTGTATTCCTTCTAATATCCTTCTCGAAGGGAATCTTTTCTCAACATGGCTTGATTAGGTCCTGTGAGTTTGACTGCTTAGTTGAATCTAAAAACACCACCTGAAACCCCATCCTGGGTATCACAGATATAAATAAGTTGCTCATTACATTTTCTAAAACACAAAATTTAAACCATGAACTGTGTTCATTAACACAGAACTGTTATGCTACATTCATATAGAAAAAAATGGGTAGATCCAAGTATACAGTTTATTCTGTGAAAGCATGTGTTTCTGCGATGTGAATGAACTCATGTGAAATTCATAAATAAGGGAATGGCATCAGTATAACAAGGAATCACGTTGGTTCATTGATTTTTCCCTGCATGTGACTATTTTGTGATGAGGCCTAAACACCAAGTATACTAAGACAGCCAAACACAGCAATACAAAAATGCTGTACAGTGCATAATGTGCTGCTCGGTGTAGCCAGCGGCTCTGCGTGCAAGTGTTTACTGTATGGTTCTCACAAGTCTATGTACACTTTACCCCTGTCCTCAATACTCAGATTTACAATCCCTCATCCAGCTACCATGGGTTATTATTGCTGCTGATGTTGAAGGTAAAGAAATGCTAGAGTAGCCAGGTGCGGAATGCATGCCCGTAACCCCACACTTTGGGAGGCTGAGGCGGGTGAATTGCTTGAGTCCATGAGTTTGAGGTCAGCCTGGGCAACATGGTGAAACCCATCTCTACTGAAAGAACAAAAAGAAAATTAGCTGGGTGTGGTGGCACTTGCCTGTATTCCTAGCTACTCAGTAGGCTGAGGTGAGAGAAGCATTTGAGCCCAGGAGATTGAGGCTGCAGTGAACTGAAATCATGCCACTGTACTCTAGCCTGACCAAGTGGAGTGAGACAGAAAGAAAGAAAAGAAAGTTAAAAGAAAAGGAAAAAGAAAAAGAAAAGTAAAAGGAAAGGAAAAGGAAAAAGAAAAGGAAAGAAAGAGAGAAAGAAAGAAGGAAAGAAAGAAAGAAAAGAAAAGAAAAGAAAAGAAAGGAAAAGAAAAGAAAAGAAAAAAAACAAAAGAAAAGAACGAACAAACGAACGAACACACAGACTAGAGTAGGCTGGGTGCAGTGGTGTTTGCCTGTGGTCCCAGCTACTTCGGAGGCTGAGGCAGGAGGACTGCTTGAGCCCAAAAGAATTCGAGGCTGTAGTGTGCTATGATCATGCATGTGAATAGCTGCAGCACTCCAGCCTGGATGACACAGTGAGGCCCTGTCTCTAAAAAACATAAAAATTTTAATAAAATACTAGAGTAGATACAGGACTTCATTTATTGAAAATCTGATGTCTTTTTAAAACGGAGCTCATAGTTCTATATGACTTATTTGTTTCTGTTAGTGATCTGTTTACTTGTTTTTCCCACAAGTCTTGTTATTTTTAGTGTCCAATTGTGAAGAAAAAGGTTTTTCAGGAAAGCATACATTGCATTATAGCAGAAGCACCTATAGTGCCTTGGAAAAAGTGAAAAAAGTTGCATAAATATGTGAACCCATGAAAAAATAGACAATTCAGCGTGTGTTTGCACACACATACATATATAACATTTATGAAAGTATATACAAAAAAAGTAAGGAGTGACTGTATCTGGAAAGTGCATCTGGAGAGCTGAAGGGGTAAAGGGACGTAAACATTTTTCAGTTTATAACCTGCTTGAATAAGTTTTACCATAATTATGAATTATTTTCATTAAATAAAGTCTAGGAAAATTTAAAAACAAACTGACCTCTAATAACCTTTTTTCCCAATGGTTGAGCTCAGTGCCCACACCACCTTGATTTTCAAGTTCCATTCCCTCTAGAACTGGACAATCAAAATGTTTTCGTGCTTCCTCCTAAGAACCAGAAAAAAAATCAGAAACAAATATGGTACAAAAGTACCGTAAGATAACAGCAAACTTTTCATCACATGAATATAATAAGTTAACATTAAAGAATTACTTTGTTGAGAAAGGAGAATTTCTTTTTAAAATATGGTTTTTAATATAACTAAATATTTTAATGCAGTCACACTCTTCTTTGCTAGGAAATTACTACTTAGTATCTTTTCTTCTCTCTGAAGATTTTCACTTTTGCAACATATAGCTAAAAAATGTTATAGACTAGGATGATTGACAGTTGTAACTCATGTCAATAACAATTTAAAATTTTTTATTTAAGTTATAACCATATATATTTATGGAGTACAGAGTGATGTTATGATTTATGAATACAATGTGAAATAATTATATCGAGCTAATATAGCCATCATTTCAAATACTTTTTTTGTGAGAATATTTTAAATTTACTCTCAGTAATTTAAATCTGTGCAATACACTACTATTGACCATATTCACCACACTGTGCAATAGATCTCAAAAAAAAAGAAAAAAAAAGTGTTACACCCATCTGTGATTTTGTACCCTTTGGCCATCACCTTACCATCTCCCCCCACCCCAGCCTCTATAACCACTACCCTCTGCTTCGGGGTTCAATAGTTTTAGATGTCACATGTGAAATGTGAAAACATTAGGTATTTGTCTTTCTGTTCCTTTTTTAGCATCAGTTCTCCAGTTTCACCCATGTTCTTACAAATGACAAAATTTCCCGCCTTTTTAAGGCTGAATAGTATTCCATTGTGTTAGTGGCGTCAACTTCCTGTTCAGTCCAATATCTGTGTATAACTGTTGATTTCCCCATAACTTAACTATTAATAGCCTACCATGGACTAGAAGCCTTACCAGTAACTGCACAGTCAATTCTCACATATATTGTATATTGTATGTATTATGTGATGTATTCTTACAATGAAGCTAGAGAAAATAAAATGTTATAAAAATATCATCAGTAAGAAAAGATATTCACTATTCATCAAGTGGAAGTGGGTCCTCATAAAGGTCTTCATCCTTGTCTTCACATTGAGCAGGAGGAAGAGGAGGGGGTGGTCTTGCTAAGGGGTGGCAGAGGTGACAGAAAGTCCACAAATAAGTGGACCTGAGCAGTTCCAACCTATGTTGTTCAAGGGTCAATTGTGTATAACACACTTTCTTTACCCACTCATCTGCTGATGGACACTTAGGCTGATTCTGTAATGTGGCTGTTGTAAATAGCGCTGCAGTCAACACAGGAGTGCAAACATCTCTTTGACAAACTGATTTCAAATCTGTTGTGTAAACATGGAACAAGGATTGTTGGAGCATATGGTAATTCTATTTTTAGTTTTTTGAAGAACTTCCAGTTTTCCATAATGGCTGTACTAATTTATACTATCTCCACATCCTCACCAACACTTCTTATCTTTTGTTTCTTTTCTTTTCTTTTTAAAATATGGAATGCTTCATGAATTTGCATGTCATCCTTGCACTGGGGCCATGCTAATCTTCTCTGTATCATTCCAATTTTAGTCTTTGTGCTGCCAAAGCGAGAGCTCTTTTGTCTTTTTGCTAACAGTCATCTGATAGGCATAAAATGACATCTCATTGTGCTTTTAATTTTCATTTCCCTAAGGATTAGTAATGTTGAGCATTTTTTCACGTACCTGTTCACAATTTGCATGTCTTCTTTTGAGAAATGTCTATTCAGGTCCTTGGCCCATTTTTTTAAATGGGCTGTTTGTACACAGCTGTTTGCATTTCTTGCATATTTTGGATATTAACGCCTTTTCTGATGTATGGCTTGCAAATATTTTCTCTCTGTTTCTAGGCTGTCTCTTCACACTTTTGTTTCCTTTGCTGTGCAGAGGCTTCTGCGTCTGATGTAATCCCATTTGTCTGTTTTTATTTTTGTTGCCTGCACTTTGAGGGTCCAATCCAAAAACTCATTGCCCAAACCAATGTCATGTAGTTGTCCCCTTATGTTTTCTTCTAGTAGTTTTACAGTTTCTGGTCTTAAGTTTACTTAATATGTTTGGAGTTGGTTTTTGTATATATGGTGTGAGATAAGGGTCAAATTTCATTCTTCTGCATATGGATATCCAGTTCTCCCAACACCATTTATTGAAGAGACTTTTTCCCATTGTGTATTCTTAGCACCTTTATTAAAAATCAATTAACCATAATTGGTTAATCATAATCAAGTCAATAAATTAATCATAATTTATTCTGTTCCATTCATCAATGTGCCTATTTTTATGCCAGGACCATGACATTTTAATTACTATGCTTTTGCAGTACAGTTTGAAATACTGCAAAGCTGGAGGCATCACACTGCCTGAACAGCTTTGTTCTTTTTGCTCATGATTGTTTTGGCTATTTTTTCTTTTTTTTGGTGTGTTTGTGGTTCCATATGAACTTGAGGATTTTTTTTCTACTTCTGTGAAAAATGACATTGGAATTTTGATAGGGATAGCACTGAATCTGTAGACTGTTTTGGGTAGTATGGACATTTTAACAATACTAATTCTTCTACTCCATGAACACGGGATACCTTTATATTTATTGTGTCAATTTCTTTCACCTAGTTTTCAGTGTACAGGTCTTTTACTTCCCTGGTTAAATTTATTCCTAAGAATTTTTTTTTTGGTAGCTATTGTAAAAGAGATTGTTTTCTTGATTTCTTTTTCAGGTAGTTTTCTGTTAGTATATAGAAAACTACTAATTTTTGTGTGTTGATTTTGTATCCTGCAACTTTTACTGTATTTATTAATCCTCATAATTTTTGATGGAGTCTCTAGGGTTTTCTATGTATAAGATCATCAGCAAACAGCAACTATCTCACTTCTTCTGGTCCTATTTGGATGCCTTTTATTTATTTCTATGGCCTGACTGCTCTTGCGATGACTTCCAATACTATGTACAAGTGGTAAGAGTGTTCCAGATCTTGGAGGAAAGGCTTTCCATTTTTCACTAATGAGTATAAGATTGGTTGTGGGTGTCTCTTATATGGCCTTTATTGTGCTGAGGTATCTTCCTTTTGTACCTAATTTGGTCAGTTTTTTATCATAAAAAGATGTTGAATTTTGCTAAATGATTTTTTTGCATCTATTGAGATGATCGTATGGTTTTTGTCCTTCATTCTGTCAGTGAGATGGATCACATTTACTGATTTGCTATGTTCAGCCATCCTTGCATCCTGGGGATAAATCTCACTTGATCATGATGGATGACCTATTTAACATGTTATAGAATTCAGCTTGTTAGTATCTTGTTGGAAAATTTTTGTACTTATGCTCACCAAGAATATTAGCCTGTAATTTTCTTTTCTTATGGCCTTGTCTAAATTTGTTATTAGAGTATTGCTGCCCTGGTAAAAAAAAAGTCTGGAAGTAATCCCTCCTCTTCAATTTTTTGGAAAAGTTTGAGAAGGACTGGATTATTAGTTCTTCTTTAAACATTTGGTGAAATTCAGCAGTGAACCTGGTCCTGGGCTTCTCTTTGATGGCAGACTTTTATTACTGATTCAATCTCATTACTCGTTATTAACCTGTTCAGATTTTTTATTTCTTCATGATTCAGTCTTCATAAGTTGTATTTGTCTAGGAATTTGTTCATTTCTTCTAGGTTATCCAGTTTGTTGGTATATAATTGTTTATAACAGTCTCTCATGATCCTTTGTGTTTCTGTGGTATCAGCTGTAATGTCTCCTCTTTCATTTCTTATGTTATTTGCATCTTCTTAGTCTAACTAAAGGTTGGTCACTTTTAGCTGTCCAAAAAAATCTATTCTGGCCAGACACAGTGGCTCACGCCTGTAATCCCAGCACTTCAGGAGGCCAAGGCGCACGGATCACCTGAGGTCACCAGTGCCCCCTCTGTTGTGATACCTCAGGATCCGTGGTACTATTTCTATAATGACTGATCATTTGGTGTCTGTATTAGTCAAGGTTCTCCGGAGAAACAGAACCAATAGGATGTGTGTATACATCTATATATATGTACACACAGAGAAAGAATATGAGATGAGGGGAGGAAGAAATTTCCTTTTTTCTTTTTTTTTTTTTTTTTGAGACAGGGTCTCACCCTGACCAACATGGTGAAACCCCCGTCTCTACTAAAAATACAAAAATTAGCCAGGCATCGTGGTGGGAGCCTGTAATTCCAGCTACTTGGGAGGCTGAGGCAGGAGAATCACTTGAACCCAGCAGGCAGAGGTTACATTGAGCTGAGCTCGTGCCATTGCACTCCAGCCTGGGCAACAAGAGGCAAACTGTCTCAAAAAAAAAAAAAAAAAGTTGCTCAGTAGAATAAAACCTTGCTCATTGGGTTCTATCTGTCCTTTAGTTAGAGATTTTCAGAGATGGGAAATAGCCCAAGAGCAGTGCAGAACTTTAGAAGTCAGAGAGCTGTACAAAGTCAAGGAAAAGGGGAAAGGAGAATAGCCATGGTACCCAAATATTTGGCCCAGATATTCTGGATGTTTCTGTGAAGGTGTTTTCTGGAATGAGAGTAACATTGCAATGAGTGGACTCTGAAGTAAAGATCACCTTCCATAATGTGGGTAGGCATCACCCAATCAGGAGAAGGCCGGAAGAGAACAAAGACTGACCTCCCCTGAATAAGAAGTCATTCTGCCTTTGGACTCCAAGGGCAACAATCCCCTGAGTCTCCAGCCTGCTGGCCTATCCCATCGGATTTGAACTCGCCCAACTTCCACAGTCATGTGAGCCAAATCCTCAAAAGTTACCTCTTGGCCAAGTGTGGTGACTCATGTCTGTAATCCCAGCACTTTGGGAGGCTGAGGCAGGAGGACTGCTTGAGCCCAGGAGATCGAGACCAGCCTGGGCAACATAGCGAGACCTCATCACTACAAAAAAATAAACAAAATTAGCTGGGCGTGGTGGTGCGTGCCTGTAGTCTCAGCCACTCGGGAGGCAGAAGTAGGAGGATCACTTTGGCGCAGGAGACAGAGGTTGCAGTGAGCCGAAAACACTACACTCCAGCCTGGGTGACAGAGTGAGACCCTGTATCAAAAAAAAAAAAAAAGAAAGAAAGAAAATAAAAGAAAAAAAGAAATCTCTTCCTCCCCTCCTCTCTCGTATTCTTTCTTTGTGTATACAGATGTATAGATATATACACACATCCTATTGGTTCTGTTTCTCTGGAGAACCTTGACTAATACAGACACCAAAGAAAATGATCAGTCATTATAGAAATAGTACCAGTGGTCCTAAGAGGCATCACAACAGAGGAGGCACTGGCCTAAAGCACTGGGTGGGATAGGAGCTGTGAGAGCCATTGCCAAGTTTCCATTTCCTCAGATTTCTCGTGGCCCGTAGCTTCATTGCATTCCCTTTATATGACTTTTCCTACTATAGGCTCTAATTATAAGTTCTTAAACAATAATGATGAGTAAAGAAAGGACCACAGTAAAGGAAAAGAACAGATGGCTCATGAGACATGAAGTCTGATAATACTTACAACAACACGAGGCGTTACCAGGAGATACACAGTGTGACGAACTATCTTATTATCTCGAACATCCCATAATCTCTCCACTTTTCGAACTACTTTATCACTCCATTGATATAATCCCAGACTGTAATTATAGAATTAAAACACAATTATTACTGAAAATTCACCATTTTAAATATAAAAATATTTACATTTACTGTAAAAAGTCTTTATAAATATCAATATGAAATTAAAATATTTGAGAACCTCCTATGTATCAAGTCCAAACAAAGTACTTGATAAGTATTTTCCTTTCTACATTTTTTTAAATTTAATTTTTTGGTTGGGTGCAGTGGCTCACACCTGTAATCCCAGCACCTCAGCAGGCCGAGGTGGGAAGACTGCTTGAGCCCAGGAGTTTGATACCAGCCTAGGCAATACAGGAAGACCTTGTCTCCACAAAAAATTTAAAAATTAGCTGGGCGCAGTAGTGCAGGCCTGTGGTCCCAGCTACACAGGCGGCTGAGGCAGGAGAATCACTTGAGCCCAGGAGGTTGACGCTGCAGTAAGCCATGTTCGTGCCACTGCACTCCAGACTGGGTGACAGAGCAAAACCCTGTCTCAAAAACAAAATAAATAAAATAAAATAAAATAAAATAAAATAAGCCAGGCATGGTAGTGTGTGCCTGTAGTCCCAGCTACTCGTGAGGCTGAGGCAAGAGGATCACTTGAGCCCAGGAGTTCAAGGCTGCAGTGAGCTATGTTCACACAGCCGCACTCCAGCCTGGGTGACAGAATGAAATCCAGTCCAGAAAAATTTTTTTCAATTTATTTTTTATTTTTTGTTGGGACAAGATCTGCTATGTTTTGCCAAAACTGGCCTCGAATTCCTGGCCTCAAGCCATCTTTCCACCTCAGCCTTTCAAAGCTCTGGGATTACAGGCGTGAGCCACTGGGCCTAGCCCTGATAAGTGTTTTAAATTTCATCTTTTCAACAACCCTATGAGATTATCATCACTATTTTGCAGATAAAGAGACAAAAGTTCAGGGAGATGAAGTAACTTGTTCAAGTTCACATAGCTAGCACTTGGCTAAGATGACGATGAATTACTTCCTTTTGACAAGTGTACAGGATAAAATGAAAGCAAGTTCACAGATATCCAAGTATATAAGGAAACATAACCAACAAAATGCCATATTAATTTAGTGGGAAAGTAGAATTTATCTAACAACTGTGCTGATTATCCATTTAGAAAAAAAAGGTTAAATCCCTTTTTCACCACATACAAAAATAAATTCCAGAAAGTCAGAAGCAAAAATGACAGCGTAAAAATCTCTCAAAATTCTCTCCTCTATGAAAAAAGCAATGAAAAAAACCACCCAACTTGGTGAAATCAACTTCTTAAACTTTGGAAATTAATCAAAGATTTATAGCAATGCAGAAAGCATTTATTCATGAAAAATTGATGAATCTCCGTAGAAACAGGAGCGGTGTGGTGCGTTTCCATGCCCTCTCTCCAGCTTTTGGGCAGCCTTGAAAACCGACAGCCCACAATCATGGTGAAAACCAGTAACCTGACAGACACTGTAGCAGACAGAACAGGGTTAATTGGAAAAATGAATTTAAAAACATGCTCTAACTATATATCTACAAGAGACATAGTTTAGACTAAATAACACAAATAGGTGGAAAGTAAAAGGATAAAAAGATATACTACATAGGCCAGGTGCAGTGGCTCACACCTGTAATCCCAGCACTTTGGGAGGCCGAGATGGGCGAATCACTAGAGGTCAGGAGTATGAGACCAAACCTGGCAAACATGGTGAAATTCCGTCTCTACTAAAAACACAAAAATTAGCCAGGTGTGGTGGCACATGCCTGTAATCCCAGCTACTCGGGAGGCTGAGGCAGGAGAATCACTTGAACCTGGGAAATGGAGGTTGCAGTGAGCCGAGATCGCGCCACAGCACTCCAGCCTGGGTAACAGAGTGAGACTCCATCTCAAAAAATAATAAAATAAATTTAAAATAAAAATAAAAAACTAGATGAGCATGGTGGCACACTCCTGTAGTCCCAGCTACTCAGGAGGCTGAGGTGGGAAGATCACCTGAGCCTGGGAAGATCAACACTGCAGTAAGCCGTGATCATGATTGTGCCACTGCACTGCAGCCTGGGCAACAGAGTGAGACCCTGCCTCAAAAAAAAAAAAAAAAAAAAAAAAGGGGTAAATCCAGCATAAAGATATAACAATTATAAACATATATGCACCTTACAAAAGAATCCCAAAATACATAAATCAAAAAAAATTTCAAATGCATTGAAGCTATAAATGTAAAGAAATCGAATAATAATTTACTAGAATAAATGTAGGAGAATATTTTTATAATCTTTTGAGGCCTTAAGCAACAAAGAAAAAAACATCGGGGTACAGTGGCATGTGACCGTAGTCCCAGCTGCTTGAGAGACGGAGGCAGGAAGCTTGCCTGAGCCCAGGAGTTCGAGACCCACCTGGGCAATATAGTGAGACTCCATCTCAAAAAAAAAAAGATAGATGAATTTAATGATAAAAAACTTAAAAACTTTTCTATACATGGCAAAAGCATGATAAATGAAATAAAAAGATAAACTAGGAGAAATATTTATAATAAGCATGAAAAAGGAGTAATATCTCTAATTTATAAAGAACTCCTACAACGTGATTAGAAAGGGAAAATTAACCTAAAAGACTGGACAAGGAAAATAAATAGGCAGTGTACAAAGAGAAAATGCAAATGGCTAAAACCTCACTATAGTCCTGGAAATACAACAATGAGATACCATCTTTTAATCCATCAAATTGGGCTTAAAAATAAAAAAGATCTATAATATCCGATACTGATAAAGTGGTAACAAAAGCACTCATACACACCTGGTGGGAATGTGCTTTGCTATACCTTTTAAAAAAAATGTAACATGGCAGTTTCTATTAAAATTTATAGTGTAAACAGATTTTAAATCAGCAATCCCAGTTTGGGAAATCTACCCTGCATAAATAAAAGCACTACTACAAAAGTAACACATTTATCTATTATAGAAAATTACGATGGATATCAATTTTTATTTTTCCCTGTAACCTAAGTCATTTTTTTTCTGGCTTATTCCCTAGACTACTTCTACCATTTTCCCTATAAATCTTTCATTCTCAGTAAAAGAACAGAAAATATAAAGAGGGTTTTCTTTTCCAATACTGTTTTGTAAAAATTTTGGCCGGGCGCGGTGGCTCACGCCTGTAATCCCAGCACTTTGGGAGGCCGAGAGGGGTGGATCACGAGGTCAGCAGATCGAGATCATCCTGGCTAACATGGTGAAACCCTGTCTCTACTAAAAATACAAAAAATCAGCCGGGCGTGTTGGCAGGCGCCTGTAGTCCCAGCTACTTGGGAGGCTGAGGCAGAAGAATGGCGTGAACCCAGGAGGCGGAGCTGGCACTGAGCCGAGATTGCACCACTGCACTCCAGCCTGGGCGACAGAGCGAGACTCCGTCTCAAAAAAAAAAAAAAAAAAATTCAAACATATTAAACATAGGCCGGGTGCGGTGGCTCATGCCTGTAATCCCAACACTTTGGGAGGCCGAGGCGGGCAGATCACCTGAGGTCAGGAGTTCGAGACCAGCCTGGCCAACATGGTGAAACCCCGTCTCTACTAAAAATACAAAAATTAGCCGGGCATGGTTGCAGGTGCCTGTAGTCCCAGCTACTAGGGAGGCTGAGGCAGGAGAATGGCGTGAACCCTGGAGGCGGAGCTTGCAGTGAGCCGAGATCACACCACTGCACTCCAGCCTGAACGACAGAGCGAGACTGTCTCAAAAAAAAAAAAAAAGAAAAAAAATTTTCAAACATACAGAACATTAAAAGAATTGTTTACTAAACACCCTTATAATCAACCAGCTCACCTAGATTCTGTAATTAACATTTTGTTGTATTTGTTATCACGTTATCTGTTCATCTAACCATGCCTTAGAGAGGTTGTTTTTAATTCCTGTTTTTCCATGGCAAGGCAACGTTTACACATAAGTAGTGAACAAAGCCAGCCAGAAAATAAAGTTTTTACCTTATTAATCACTCCAATCTCTCTTTATCATTCATACTTCAAGATTAACAGTTTCCCCAAATACAGTTAAAGCAAAATCCAATTCTTTATATCTGTAACAACTGAATTTATTACTCTATTATCTTCGTTTTTACTGGAAGGCTTCTCTTTTTTTTCTTGAGACAGTCACTCTGTCACCCAGGCTGGAGTGCAGATGCGTCATCACAGCTCACTGTAGCCTCAGCCTCCTGAGCTGAATTGATCCTTCTGCTCAGCACCCCAAGTAGCTGGGACTACAGGCGCATGCAACCATGCCTGGCTAATTTTTGTATTTTTTTGTAGAGACAGGGTTTTGCCACGCTGCCCGGCAGGTTTTGAACTCATGGGCTCAAGCAATCAGCCCACCTTGGCCTCCCAAAGTGCAGGATTACAGGCATGAGCCATTGTGCCTGGCCGGAAGGTTTGATGCTTTTGAGGAATATCCTCAATGCAAGGAAGCACTGCAAATTATCAGCTTAAGAATGGTTCTTGTGTGTGGGTATCTCTCTCCTCCTCACTTACATCTCACAAGTTATGTTTTCATAAAATGGCCTCTTATATCCCATTTTGTTTTAATATCTACAATTTCCTTAGGTTTGCCATGAAGACATTATTATTTATGGCATCTAATATACTGTGATTCTCAGATTCTAGTCTTAGCACCCTCCTAAAAGAGGAGAACAAGAGCAACAACAACAAAAATACCTATAATTAAAAGGTGGGAGGCCATCTGCAAATCTTGAAGTGAGAGGATTTCCATCTTTATCATGGTAGAATGCAAACAGCCCAGCAGAGAAACCCTGTAAGAAAAAGTTCAAAATGTCTTCAAGTGAAAAACATCAAGGCTGATTACAGGCCTGCGATCAAAAGAGAGCACTGATACTAACGGGAACGTAGAAGCACCACGCCAGTGCTTCTGTAGGAACTTCTCCTACGCTGGAATTGAACAACAATTAAGTGTTCCATATTTATAAATTTTAAATTCTGATTACTTGAGGTAAATATTTCTAACGAGAAATTTTCTAAAATGTATTATATATTTTAAATTTATATTCAGTAGAAATACTACAAACATTAATTACTGTCGTATAATTATATTTCCAAGCACGACTAGAATTTTAAAACCATAAAGAACACCAGCTGTTGTGTTTTTAATTCCTGTTTGCTCTGTGTGTGTGTGTGTGTGTGTGTGTGTGTGTGTGTGTACATTATGAAATGGTTTTGAAAGTCTGTCTGCGTTTTAAAGTTATTTTGGCCTTCTTATATATATAGAAGAATCCTCCCAAAGTTCTGGGATTACAGGCGAGAGCCACCGCGCCCGGCCCTTCTTCCTTTTTTGAGAAGCTATCAGCTATCAGGTATCACTTCTGAACAAGAGCTGGACCAGAGCTGAAAAGATGGAAGCTGGACACTGAGATACGTGGCCAAGACTGACACTTGCTTACAATAAATTTACTTAAAAATTACTGGGAAGATAAACATTCGTATGTGTTCAAATAAACATGTAAAAAAATATTTAGCTGACACTTTCCTTTCCTTTAATTTGAGGAAGTGGCAAGTCATTACTACTTTCTCCCTATAAGGATTTTCACATGGTTATCAGAAGCGGCAGCAGAAGGGCTGGGCGCGGTGGCTCATGCCTGTAATCCCAGCACTTTGGGAGGCTGAGGCGGGGGGGATCACTTGAGCCCGGGAGTTCAAGACCTGCCTGGGCAACATGGCGAGACCCCCATCTCTACTAAAAATACAAAAATTAGCAGGGCATGGTGGTGCGTGCCTGTGGTCCCAGCTACTCTGGAGGTTGAGGTGGGAGGATCATTTGAGCCCAGGAGGTTGCAGCAGCAGAGGGCTGGATATAGTGGCTCACCCCTCTCATCTCAACACTTTAGGAGTCTGAGACAGGAGGATCACTTGAGCCTAGGAGTTTGAGACCAGCCTGGGCAACATAGCGAGACCTTATCTCTATCAAAAAAAAAAATTAGCCAAGTGTAGTGGCACATGTCTGTAGTCCCAGCTACTTGGGAGGCTAAGGTGGGATCACTTGAGCCCAGGAGGCTGAGGCTGCAGTGGGCCATCATGGGGCCTCAAAAAACAAACAAACAGCAGCAGCAGCAGCCCAGGGCTCTGCCGTATCTATATACTTCCAAAGGCCTTTCAGTATTGTTCATTTTTCAATCTTAGAATTTTAAAAGAGGAAAAAGCTTTATAAATCTTTCTGTTTGTTTGTTTGATACAAAGTCGGCCTCTACCACCAGGCTGGAGTGCAGTGGCACAATCTCGGCTCACTGCAGCCTCAACCTCCCTGGGCTCAAGCCATCCTCCCACCTCAGCCTCCCAAGTAGCTGGTACGACAGGTGCACACCACCATGCCCCGCTAATTTTTGAATTTTTTATTATTATTATTATACTTTAAGTTTTAGGGTACATGTGCACGAACATGAGTCTAGGAATCCACATCATCTTAAAGTGGAATATATGTATAAAAATGAGAACATACTAAGCAGAAAATCAAGGCATGAAGGAAAGAACAGTAAGGCTAGAATTTACCAGGGCATGAATAACCTCATGTTTCACTGTGGACAGCATCCCAACAAACTCCTGAGGCTGGGTAGAGATCATATTTGGACACAGGTTAGCATATCCTGCTATTGGCCTGTCAAAACAGACATTGAATTTTTAAATTACATTCCAGAACAATATTTATTAACATTTACTTCTCCATCAAATACTGCTCAAGGACAGAAAAATCTTTGCAAAGTATCCAATGCAATTTTGTACCATCACTATCTTACTTTTAAGACATGTATCCTCTGCTTTCCTATGGCATGGCAAATCAACCCCTGTTTCCACAAAAGGACATACTTGATTATACTTTAATATGAATTTTTGAAATATATCAATATAATACCCAAAAAAGAACGAACTGAAAGGCTCAAATTCTAACACTATTTTAGTTGCAAAATCCATATTTAACTTCAGCATTTCAGTATATCTACGGGCACAGAGACAAGCAGGTAGAGAGGAAAGCAGTTATCAAATGGGGCAATAAATGAGTGGTTCAGATTGCTGAAAGTCGCTGGCCCTTCTTATCTGTTTGCTATTCCCTTTCTCCTGCTCCAACACTGCCTACATTCACATAAATATTTCTACCATCCCATCATCTTCTTCCAAATTCTACACCCTTTAGAATCTACACACTTCTACATCTCTCTCTGTGCCTAGAACCTGCAAGTCCAAAGGCAGACTAGGACTCAAGAGTCCAGAGTAATTCAGTTCCACCATGCGCCTCCCTGTCTTTCAAAAGCTGCAGCCAATGAACAATGCTGAGGAACCCCAAGCTCAGTTCTCCTACCACTATCTTAACATCTTACATAGAAACACCACAAACCTCATCAAAGTATAACTGACTATTTATAAAGTACATTTATCTTATTTAAATTGTTAAATACTTTATATTTTCTTCATAGGTAATAGCAACAGACACAGAATTAGAAAAAGTATGAATACAATTCTTTTATTTAAAAATTGCCACAGTGACCTCTAAAATATAAAATGGATTTCACTTCCAGGCTTAAAACTCTTCAGGGGCTTCCTGCAGCACTTGGAAGAAAACAATCCTGTCTGCCTGTCAAAGCACCTGTCCTCCGACAGTGTCCACTGAGGGGCTCCTGAAGCAACAGGTGTACATGGCTTCTGCCTTCACAAGCTCTCCCCACATCTCTCTATTTGGCTACAGCCTATCAATGTTCAGGTTGCAGCTAACGTTTCACTTTCTCAAAGAGGTCTTCCTTGTTCAATTGATCTACAAGGTGTTTCCTCTTTTATTCTCCTCTATGTTACAACATTCTATTTATTTTCTATGAAGTATTTATCATACTTTGAAATCACATATTTATTTGCAGGAATATTTAATACCTGTCTCCCTCTGCAATTCATAAGTTCCATGAGGCAGATACACATCTATACTTTGTTTACCTCATCTGTTGGCCGCTCAAATATTCATGAAATGAATTAATGCAATATAGCAATTGTGAAGGAAGGTTTCACTTCCTTGAAAAAGAAGAACTTAAGGCCGGGCGTGGTGGCTCATGCCTGTCATCCCAGCACTTTGGGAGGCCAAGGCAGGTGGATCACCAGAGGTCAGGAGTTCAAGACCAGCCTGACCAACATGGCAAAACCTTGTCTCTACTAAAAATACAAAAATTAGCCAGGCGTGGTGGTGCGCACCTGTAGTCGCCGCTACTCAGGAGGCTAAGGCAGGAGAATCACTTGAACCCAGGAGGTCGAGGCTGCAGTGAGCCGAGATCATGCCATTGCACTCCAGCCTGGGCAACAGAGTGAGACACCGTCTCAAAAAAAAAAAAAAAAAAAAGAAGGTAACTGCTTTTTCTTTTAACAAATCTAGGAGAAGTTAGTTAACTAATTCCTGTGCATAAAAGGACCACTGCTGAGGTGTTAAACATCCATCTATCGGTCAAAACACGAGCTGAGGCCAGGCACAGTGGCTCACACCTGTAATCCTAACACTCTGGGAGGCCAAGGAAGGCAGATCACCTGAGGTCAGGGGTTCAAGACCAGCCTGGCCAACATAGTGAAAGCCCTGTCTCTATTAAAAATACAAAAATTAGTTGGGCGCAGTGGCGCACACCTGTAGTTCCAGCTACTTGGGAAGCTGAGGCAGGAGAATCGCTTGAACCCGGGAGGCAGAGGTTGCAGTGGGCCAAGATCACGCCACTGCACTCCAGCCTGGGTGACAGAGCGAGACTATGTCTCCAAAAAAAAAAAAAAAGACTAGCTGACTCCCTTTGAAGTCAGCTAATCGCTAATCTCAAATCTAATCTCACCTAGATCTGAGAATGTTATATACAATCTATTCTGAGACATATGGCAATTTCTACTGCCTTTACTTGATTTGTCTAGTGTGTGACAGGCAATCTTCTGCATATATAACTTTTCATTTCAAAGCTAAGCTGCTTCACAGGAAAAATGTTTGAAATCTTTTGTAAATGAAGAGAACTCTGAATGTCTAAGTGATGTTTAGCTAAGTGAATCACATATAACAAATTACATGACAATTAGATGAACAGTCATTATTAACACCTTTCTTCACAGTTTTAGCACAGAAGTCCTAAAATTAAAGTTCAAATTGTTGCCTTAGAGCAGGAGTCACCTGGAAAGAAAATTCTCTTGACAGTGGACTTATCATTATTATTGTTGTTTTTTGGACACAGGGTCTGGCTCTGTGGTCCAGGCTGGAGTGCAGTGGTGTAATCACAGCTCTCTGCAAGCTCCACCTCCCAGGCTTAAGCAATCCTCCCACCTCAGCCTCCTGAGCAGCTGGGACTACCGGCACACACCACCACTCCTGGCTAATTTTTGCATTTTTTGTAGAGACAGAGTTTCACCATGATCCACCCGCCTCAGCCTCACAAAGAGCTGGGATTACAGGTGTGAGCCACCGCGCCCAGCCATTTTGTTTTTTCTTTTTTGTGAGGGACAAGGTTTCACTCTGGTGCCCAGGCTGGAGTGCAGTGGCATGATCACAGCTCACTGTAGCCTCAACCTCTCAGGCTCAAGCAATCCTCCCACCTCAGCCCCCTGAGTAGCTGGGACCACGGGTGCATGCCACCACACCTGGCCAATTTTATTTTTTGTCAAGATGAGTTCTCACTATGTTGCCCAAGCGGGTCTCGAGCTCCTGGGCTGACGTGATCCTCCCACCTCAGCCTCCCAAAGAGCTAGGATTACAGGCGTGAGCCACCACACTTGGCCCACTTGACAGCAGACTTTTTCTTTGGAATTTAGGCAAAAACGATAGGATCAAAATGGAAGAGGAACGGCAGGCAGAAAAGTCAAACGAAGTGCTTCACTTTTCTCTCTTTCACTTTGACTAAAAACTTGGGTTATCACATTAATAACAGTCTAATCACGGTCTCCTAACCCCACTCCAAACCCAGGCAGCATGCTATTCCTGTCTACCAGAGGCAATCTGGCAAATGCAAGATTCCTGTAATCTTAACACTAAAAATACAGTTTGCTTTAAGAGTTCCCACATTAGATCTTGGAAACTAAGTCCCGGAGGAAAGATTACCTGTCCATGTTTGCTTCCTGCTGACAATAGGCTGCATAAGAGATGATGTTTTCATGGCTGCATCTCTCGGTGGCCAGAGCACCAACGTAAAGAACAAAGTCTGCATCTGAGATGCCTTCTTGGTCTGGCACACCCACTGCTCCATGAGGCCACTTACCCCCACGGTAGACCCGGCATTGCTGCACCCACGGGAGACATCAGAAAGCCAGAACAGAGACAAAGTTAGCTGTAGTGGCATTTAATCTTATAGTAAAATCTACACTATAAACACAGTACAATTTAATCTTTATTATCCCTAAACTTTTATCAAAATCCATACCTCCCTGTCTACTCAATACCTAGCTCTAATTCTGAATTTATTTTAATGAAATGTCCACTTTACATAAAATGATCATAAACCTATAATCTCAATTAAATAATTCCTATTTACAAAGGAAGGCCAACCAAACAGGACGCTGAAAAGACAGAAATATAAAAGGTTTTAAAACTCTGAAACTAGATGAAGGGATTTCCCTAAAAGTAGCTTTTTTTTCAACTTTCTTTGAATCTACAATTAATTCTAAACTAAGTGGTAAAAAAAATCTTACCTAATGGAAATATATTTCCTATTATAATGCAATCCACATCTTGTTAAAAATTCAAACAATATAAAGGTATGAGTCATCTCCCCTTGTTTCTAATCTTCTAAGCAAATCTTTTATTATTAAAAACAAAATTTTTTTTGAGGTGGAGTCACTCTGTCACCCAGGCTGGAATGCAGTGGCGTGATCTCGGCTCTCTCCTGCCTCAGCCCCCCAAGTAGCTGGGATTACAGGTGCCTGCCACCATGCCCAGCTAATTTTTATATTTTTAGTAGAGACAGGGTTTCACCATATAGGCCAGGCTGGTCTCGAACTCCTGAACTTGTGATCGGCCTGTCTCGGCCTCCCAAAGTGCTGGGATTACAGGCATGAGCCACTGCACCCAGCCTAAAAATTTTTTAAATATATATAGACGGGGTCTCACTATATTGACCAGGCTGGTCTCAAACTCCTGGCCTCAAGCAATACCCCCATCTTGGCCTCCCAAAGTGCAGGGATTAGGGATTACAGGCGTGAGTCACCGCACCTTGCCCAGCAAATCTTATTTGCCTCTGTAATGGTCACTTTTTTGAAAGCTACTTCTATCAGAATTCCCAAGTAATCATAATCTCCAAATTAGAAACAGAAAAATCAGTAAATTATTATTTTTAAGGTGTAAGCAATACTTGTAGAGGGAAAAAAAACAAATTCTCATTTCATTTAATAGAAAATACACATTGTTTATTCTTCCTTCTCTAACACATGCATTTATAATTTTTAAAATCAATTACTTTAGGGAGTGGGAGCTGAGGAGATGTTGGTCAAAGAATACATGTTTATAGTTAGAAGGAATAAGTTCAAGAGTTCTGTTGTAAAGCACAGTGACTATGGTTAATGACAATATGCTGTATTCTTATTTATTTATTTAGTTTAGTTTAGTTTTGTTTTGAGCCAGAGTTGGAGTCTTGCTCTGTTGCCCAGGCTGGAGTGCAGTGGTATGTGACCTGGGCTCACTGCAACTTCCGCCTCCAGGGTTCAAGCTTCTCCTGCCTCAGCCTCCTGAGGAACTGGGTCTACAGGCACCCACCACCATGCCCAGCTAACTTTTGTATCTTTAGTAGACAGAAGGTTTCACCGTGTTGGCCAGGCTGGTCTTGAACTCCTGACCTCAGGTGATCCGCCCACCTCAGCCCCCTAAAGTGCTGGGATTATAAGCATAAGCCACCGTGCCTGACCTTGTAGTTTTTTATTAAGCACTAGCTTAGCTTAGGCATAGTCTGAGATATTATTATTTATCTAATTATTTTTGAGACAGGGTCTCACTCTGTCACCCAGGTTGGAGTACAGTGGGAAGATCATAGCTCACTGCAACCTCCACGTCCCCAGCTCAGGCAATCCTCCCACCACAGCCTCCCAAGTGGCTGGGACCACAGGTGCACACCACCAATCCTGGCTAACTTTTTGTATTTTTTGTAGAGACAGGGTTTCACAATGTTGCCAAGGCTAGTCTTAAACTCCCGGAGTCAAGCAATCTGCCTGCCTTGGCCTCCCAAAGTACTGGGACTACAGGTGTAAGCTACTGTGCCCGGCCTAAATTTTTTATTTTTTTGATATAAGTAATAGATGTTCAATAAGAAAACTCAGAACATCACAAAAATCTCCATAACTTATGAAAGAAAAGCACTTTCCCCAACAATCTCTTAAAGAAATGATTAACATTTTTATATGTATCCAGAATTAACGTGTGTATACTTCCAGATGTTTGATGATTTTTATATGTATCCAGATTTAACGTGTGTATACTTCCAGATTGTTTGATGATTTTTATATGTATCCATATTTAACGTGTGTGTGCTTCCAGATTGTTTGATAATTTTTATATGTATCCAGATTTAACGTGTGTATACTTCCAGATGGTTTGATGATTTTTATATGTATCCAGATTTAACGTGTGTGTACTTCCAGATTGTTTGATAATTTTTATATGTATCCAGATTTAACGTGTGTATACTTCCAGATTGTTTGATGATTTTTATATGTATCCAGAATTAACGTGTGTATACTTCCAGATTGTTTGATGATTTTTATATGTATCCAGATTTAACGTGTGTGTACTTCCAGACTGTTTGATGATTTTTGTATGTATCCAGATTTAACGTGTGTATACTTCCAGACTGTTTGATGATTTTTATATGTATCCAGAATTAACGTGTGTATACTTCCAGATTGTTTGGTGATTTTTTATATGTATCCAGATTTAACGTGTGTATACTTCCAGATTGTTTGATGATTTTTATATGTATCCAGATTTAACAAGTGTGTGCTTCCAGATTGTTTGATAATTTTTATATGTATCCAGATTTAACGTGTGTATACTTCCAGATGGTTTGATGATTTTTATATGTATCCAGATTTAACGTGTGTATACTTCCAGATTGTTTGATCATTTTTATATGTATCCAGATTTAACGTGTGTGTACTTCCAGATTGTTTGATAATTTTTTATGTATCCAGGTTTAACATGTGTGTACTTCCAGATTGTTTGATGATTTTATATGTACCCAGATTTAACGTGTGTACTTCCAGATTGTTTGATCATTTTTTTATTGTCTGTGTTTCTATACTTTCAAATAAAATGGGCTAACTGCATACTGATTCGCAACATTTTTTTCATGTAAGAGGTTAAACATCTTTCCAAGTCAGTACATAGAGATCTCCTTCACTTTTTAACAACTGCACAGTATTCTACTACGTGGTTATACCATAACTTAACATAAATATACCCTAAATAGGCATATTTATAGTTTTGCAAAGAACACCTTTAAACATATATTACGTAGCCATTAGTATTTTGTGGAATAAATTTCTAGGTTGGGTTGAGGCATACATATTTTTTATCTTAAGAGATGTCAGACTGTCCTTTAACAAACTGAGATATATGCCTTGCTAAAAGATATTTTGGAAGACAAGATAATGTTCTAAGCTAAAGTGATTCAGCAGACCAAGATAAACAGGGGCAAGGAGGCCTGTGGGGAGGAGTGAAGAAAGAAAATACCATTAAACTCACTTGAAAGCTAATGAAAGAATAAAATCAGCATATCTGTGGTTACTTTTTGTAGACCAAGGAAGCTACTAAGCCTTTGAACTTGAATCTGTAAAAATTCTGTGACACTCACAAATTCAAAATCTCCTCAGGTGTAAAAGCACTGCCAAGAGCAGGGTGAAATACCTGGAGATGTTCCTCAGGAACAATAACGGGGCCGCACTTTGTGTGTGCGGCACACTCCCCGGTGCAGTACCTGTGAGGATCGTTTTCCTTCCGGAGGTATTGGTTTGTTGCACATTGTCTTCAGTCCATTTGTACATCAAAGTTTAAATACAAAAAAGAGAATATTTTATAGCAGTTAAAAACATGGAAACCAACTGGTAGCTGCTATATTACTTCATTAATAATGTTACTATTTTAGTCAGGAAAGTAGCTAAGAAAGAATTTGGGTTCTATAGGAAATCCTCTTGATTTGGGTTTTTAAACACCCAAATACTTCATAAAGCCAACACTGTATCCACATGAAAGAGGGAAAAAGGTGATCTGGAGAACAGGGGACAACTACACCCAGAAAAAATTCAGTAGACCATCTCACAATGAAAGGTCAGGGAAAGAATGATTATCCAGCAGGTGCTTTTTTATTCTTTTTAAATACCTTGCAGTTAGGTCCCTAAGAACAAGCATAATAAAATTCTAGTATAAGTTTCATACCTTGCCATGTTCATAGAACGAGAAAGGCAGAGTACTAAACGGCTGAAGAAAATGATCTGTGTTTCATGTGACATACCTGCTAAGTAAGATAGTGCCCGCAGGTCGACGGACCTGAAAAGTCTTCTCTAAATAAGAAATCGCTTGTGGGAAAAGCTTGTTCTAAATAAAAGTTAAAAAAAAAAAGAAACAGAATTATAAGGAAGAGATAAATTATATTTAAAAGAAGCAAACACAGGATAGTAATGAAAAAAAGCTTTATAATTCTGGAATACAGATATTAGTTAGTCAAGGTTGTATGGCAAGGGGTAGGAAGAGAGTAAGTCTAGGAGGAAAAGAATTTCCCCCATTTTCTAGTTCAGCTTGGGAAAACAGCATTAGGCAGAAATTTCCTTCCCTAGCCCCATTTAAATAGAAAGCCAGAAAACATATATCTCAACTATTTTTTATTTTTAATTAAATATTAATTTCCTTCGATACTACACCTTTAACAAAACTGTGATATATCTCAACTATTAATCTAGATTACTATGAATGATGGACTAACTTAGATGATTCCAACACTAAGATAGTTTATGTTAAGAAAATCTTACCTTTAATTAAAGTCATCAATTTCTGTCGCCCATAGTGAACTGGCTTTGTGTGTGTGCATGTGTGCGTGCATGTGCGCATGTGTGTGCGTGCACGTGCGCGTGTGTGTGCATGCGTGCATGTGTGTGTGTCTCCACACAGTTAAAAATCTGATGTGGTTATCAGGTAAATCAATCCTCAGGAAAATAAACATTTCCACCAAGAGAACAGTGTTGTCAATGTGTTTCAAAAATTGTTTTTCACCCTATTCTCTGCATGATTTGCTCCCCAAAAACTTGAGAAAGCAAGCAGAAAAATGAGAAAACTGATTATCAAATTACAAAAAAAGACTAATTTAATGCCCAATACCAACAAAGTTTTCATGAGAGCATCACAAAGACACCTTTTGTGAAATGATCAGCACTTTCACTACCAACACCTTTCATTCAGTCACAAAAGTCATGTATATATTTTTCTTTACTGAAGTAGAATTTCCATGCAATAAAATTTTAAGTGTCCAATTCAAGTTATGAGTATTTATTACATACCTTTACAAGATTCTTTTTCTCAGGGAGCAACCTGAAAATAATGACATAAAAACATAAGGATTATCTCTCAGAGGCATAGCACATGTAATCAAGAAATAACCATAAAAATGGGCAACCAGCAGGCCTTGGGCCTGCTCTGCCTATGGAGCAGCCATTCTTTTATTCCTTTACTTTTCTAATAACCTTGCTTTCACTTTACTCTATGGATTTGCTTCTAATTCTTTCTCATGAGAGATCCAAGAACCCTCTCCTGGAATCTGGGCCAGACCTCTTTCTGGTAACACTAGTACTTATTGAAGAGTACCTTCCAGGTCTGTTACTGTCCACATCCAAGTAGATCCACATTTGTTCTGTTTAAATTATTCATGATTGACCAGGAAAGGAAGATGGTAAAAGAAAATTATTCATAAAGACTTTAATCATATCCCATGGCTTTCATATTTTCAGACTAAAATGCATTTTCAGCTTAATTCCATTTTGAAGCTACACTAGTCCTTAAGTTTTATCTATGGATTCTTAGAACTTCAGGTAACAGACAAAAATATCTTTAACATTTAGATTAATAATGAAAAAGATGACAATACAATGGTGTACTTACTCTTCAACACTTTTATCATAGACAGTCTTGATTCTTAAATGCTCATCAACATCTCTCTTGACCACATGATTTGCCTTAAGATGAACTTTATTTATGACCTGAAAAAAGGAACGGATTTGAAAACTGTTTAAGACATACAGATTAACCCACTGCAATCCAAACTTAAAATTAATGAACTAAATTTCAAGTGTAATACCCAGAGAAAAAGTTCTGTGACCCATATTCCACTGTGTCAGCATTCTTGAACCTCAAAGCTCTCCCAAGCAAGGGCTGCCATTTGGAAGGCAAGAACCATAAATTCAAGTCACATGACTAAATCATTATGGATACAGTAGCTGCCAAAAAGCTTTTAGGGTTCTCTGTCACTTATTTGTAGTGATCTTACATAATTTCTAGTTTAGCCAATTTTGAGTCTTGAGAAAATGACAGGAAGAGACCAAAAGTATCTTCAATTACTTTAAAAGAGGACAAAAATTTATTTATGAAAGAGGTTTCCATTTTGAATTTTTTCTCCAGTTCTCATTTACTATTTACATGATTTTTTCAGGGATGAATAAAAGAAGTCAAGAAAGGTCTCAGCAGTATCAACACTTTAGGAAACTCTTGATGTACAAAAGAAAAAATTGTGTTAGCTTAACTAAAAGTAAGCTGTATACTATCTCACTCATATAATTCCAGCAATGGACAACCACATTTTTATTTTTATACTATTTCTGCAGATGTATACAAGAAAACAGAATTCTATATTTTGTAGAAAACTACGTTTGATCTATTAATATAACATAGTAACAGTCACAGATTTTCACAATACGTATTGCCTGCTCTGCTATGATGGCCTGACACCCTACTTCCAGTATTTTACTCATTCCATTCCAACCTATCTCCAGGTAACAGATTATTTTATGGCCCTTAAAAAACCATCAGAGGCCAGACACGGTGGCTCACGCCTGTAATCCCAGCACTTTGGGACTTTGGGAGGCCGAGGCAGGCAGATCACAAGGTCAGGAGACTGAGACCATCCTGGCTAACATGGTGAAACCCCATCTCTACTAAAAATACAAAAAAATTAGCCGGGCATGGTGGCAGGCGCCTGTAGTCCCAGCTACTTGGGAGGGTGAGGCAGGAGAATTGCTAGAACCCAGGAGGTGGAGCTTGCAGTGAGCCGAGATTTTGTCACTGCACTCCAGCCTGGGCAACAGAGCAAGACTCCGTCTCAAAAAAAAAAAAAAATCAGAAATGTCTGAGCACAGCAAATGGATATGGTACATTTTAGCAATCCATTACATGACTAACCTCCCCACAGATAACACATTACAAAGTCCGGACAAAATATACTGTCTGACAGTATTTTGGGGAGGGAGAAAGACAGAATCTGGAAGAATCTACTCTTGGAATACAGGAATTGTATCTCTGAGATTTGCAAGTCTAACTTTGGCTTGAGAGCACTACCTAATCTGTGTCTCTTGGAGTGGCAGGAAGTCAGAGCCTCACTGGCTTGAGGAGCTACAGCAAAATGTTCAGAACTTGTATCACCAGAAAATTAGAAGTTAGAGAGGAAATCTTGCAAGAGAAGAAGCCACAGAAGGTACCCCAAAATCTGCATATGAAACCCAGTCAAATATTTGACTGACCACTAAATTCCTTGGCTGACAACGAAATTACATATGTATGCGATAAAACCCAGCAAAGAATAAATGTTGCCAACAACAGGAGATAAGAGTTTGGAATTTTGAATACAGTTAAGTTAAACGCCAGCTACAAAAAAAAAAAAATTATTCAGAGAAATACAACAGAATCCAGACTTTACAATATATTATCTATGGTGTCCATTATTTAATAAAAAATCAGCAGCAATGAGAACAAAATGGGAAAATGAGATCCACAATGGGGGAAAAAGCAGGGAATAGAAACAGACCCTAAGAGGACCTGAATTTAAACAACTAGTTTAATGCAGCTGAAATGTGTTCAGGAACTTAAAAGAAAACATACACATAATGAGTAAGCAGATAGTGAACCTCAGAAGAGACACTATGAAAAGAACCAAAGAAAAAAGAGCCAAATGGAAATTCTAGAGCTTAAAAGTATAACAATTAAAATGAAAAATTCATTGGGGCCGGACACGGTGGCTCATGCCTGTAATCCCAGCACTTTGGGAGGCTGAGGTGGGTGGATCACTTGAGGTCAGGAGTTCCAGACCAGCCTGGCCAACATGGTGAGACCCTGTCTCCACTAAAAATACAAAAATTAGCCAGGCGTGGTGGTGCACACCTGTAATCCCAGCACTCCAGAGGCTGAGGCAGGAGAACTGCTTGAACTCGGGAGACGGTGGTTGCAGTGAGCCAAGACTGCACCATCACCCTACAGCCTGGGTGACAGAGCAAGACAGTCTCAAAAAAAAAAATTCACTAGAAAGAATTAAAAGAAGATTGGAGATGGCAGAAGCATCAGTGAACTTGAAGATAGATCTAGACATTATCCAATCCGAAGAAGAGAAATGAAAAAGACTAAAAAAAAAAAAAAAAAAAAAAAAGAACAGAGACTCAGAGAATGGGTACCAAGCAGTCTAGCAGATAGGTAATTAGAGTCCTATAAGGACAGGAGAAAATATGAGACAGAATATATATTTGAAAGAAATAACAGCTAAAAAATTTCAAATTTGGTGAAAGACATCAACTTACAGATCCAAGAAGTTCACTAAACCTCAAGCAGGATAAAAAACAAACAAGGCTGGGCGTGGTGGTTCATGCCTGTAATCCCAGCTCCTCAGGAAGCTGAGGCATGAGAATCACTTGAACCCGGGAGGCGGAGGTTTCAGTGAGCCAAGATCGTGCCACTGCACTCCAGCCTGGGCAACAGAGTGAGACTTTGTCCCCAAAAACAAACAAACAACAACCAGGTACATCATAGGCAAACTTGTGACATCTAAAAATAAAGATAAAATATTGAAAGCAATGAGAGAAAAACAACACATTTTATATGGTTTGGCTCTGCATCCCCAGCCAAATTGCATCTTAAATTGTAATCCCACATGTCAAGGGAAGGAGGTGACTGGATCATGGGGGTGTTTCCCCATGCTGTTCTCATGATAGTGAGTTCTCACAAGATCTGATGGTTTTATAAGCAAGCCTCTGGCATTTCCCCTGCTTGTACTTCTCTCTCCTGCCACCATGTAAAGAAGGTCCTTGCTTCTCCTTCATCTTCCACCATGATTGTAAGTTTCCTGAGGCCTCCCCAGCCATGTGGAACTGTAAACCACTTTCCTTTATAAATTACCCAGTCTCAGGTAGTATCTTTATAGCAGTGTGAGAACTAATACAACATTATACATAGGAAGGGAAGAGAAGTACGAATGGCATTGACTTTCTGTGAAGAACAATAAAGAACAGAAGACAATGAAATAAACAGGAAAGGGCTAAAATAAAGAAATTCAACACAGAAGTCTATATCCAATGAAAGTACCCTTCAAAAATGAAGAGGAAATAAAGACATTTCACATACATCTGAGAAAACTGATCACCAGCAGACCTACACTACAGGAAATGCTAAAAGAAGTTATTCGTGGGAATGGAAATAACACAAAAGGGTAACCTGTTTCTGTAGGAAGAAATAAAAGCTATTGGAAATGGTAAATACGTGAATAGATATGAAAGACTATTGTGCAGAAGAGTCAACACAGCAGGTCAGAGATTGCTGCTCTCTGTAGGAAGTCCTGCTTGCAAGGTTGACCTTTTGCTGGCATCTAGAAGTGTAATTTAAAACTTCACTAGGTTATAAGGATGGCTCATTGTGTCTAAACTATTTGCAGAAACAATATGGTTTATGTTGAACATTTGCTTGCTTCTGGAGTCTGAAATTTCAGTGGCTGAAATTTTGTCTACGTGACCAGCCTCCAATAAAAACCCTGGACTCTAAGAATCAGGTAATCTTCCCTGGTAGACCACACTTTGTGCACGCTGTCACAACTCACTGCTGAAGGAATTAAGCAGGTCCTAAGTGACTCTACTAGGAGAGGACTCTTGGAAGTTTTTGCCTAATTTCCTCTAGTCTTTGTCCCATGATCCTTTTCCCTTTGCTGATTTTACTTTGTATGCCTTCACTGTAATAAATCTCAGCTGTGAGTATGACGACAAGCTGAATCTAGCGAGGCCACCTAGCAATCACCAAACCTGGAGTGGTCTTGGGAATCCTCAACACAATTATACACACTTCTTTTCTTCTGTTAATTTCTTTGGAGACAAATAAATATTTAAAGCAAAAATTGTAAAATTTTTAATTGTGAAGTTTATTTTTTTTATTTATTTTATTTATTTATTTTGGGTTTTTTTGAGACAGTCTCTCTCTATTGCCCAGGCTGGAGTGCAGTGGTACAATCTTGGCTCACTGCAACCTCCGCCTCCTGGGTTCAAGCAATTCTCCTGCCTCAGCCTCCTGAGTAGCAGGGATTACAGACACCTGCCACCATGCCCAGCTAATTTTTGTACTTTTGTAATTTTAGTAGAGACAGGGTTTCACCACGTTGGCCAGGCTGGTCTTGAATTCCTGACCTCAGGTGATCCGCCAGCCTCGGCCTCCCAAAGTGCTGGGATTACAAGCATGAGCCACTGTGCTGGCCTAATTGTGAGGTTTAAAATATATAAAGAAGTCATATATTAATATATTTACAATATTATATTACAACAACAGCAAAATGAATGAAATTATGCTGTTGAAAATGTCCCATATTTAACATGACTATTTTAAATAGATACCATAAGTACACTACATATATTGTAGTCACTGGAGCAAACACTCAATATTTTGTGTTGTACATTCTGCTTCAGTGCGTGTGGGACATTCACCTAGCTAGATCATATTTTGGGCCATAAAACAAACTTTAAGACATAAAAGAACTGGTAAAAAGGATGCTCTCTATCAATAACAAAATTCGACTAGAATGCAATTTCAGAACAATATCTGGGAAAATCCCCAAATACTTTTGAAAAAATCAAACAACAAACTTCTAAATAACCCTTAGTTAGTAGAGAAAATTACAAGGGAAATTAGAAAATAGAAGTAAATGAAAATAAAATTACAAGTTAATATTTGTGGGATACAGCTAAAGGAGTATTTAGAGGAAACTGATAGCTTTAAATGCCTATTTTAGAAAAAAGATCTCAAATTCATGATCTAAGGTTCCACCTTAAGATACTAAAAAAAATATATATATATTAAACTCAAAGAAAGCACTAAGGCTGGCATGGTGGCTCATACCTATAATCCCAGCACTTTGGGAGGCTAAGGTGGGAGGATTGCTTGAGCTCAGGAGTTCAAGGCTGCAGTGAGCAGTGATCGTGCTATTGCACTTCAAACTAGGCAACAGAGTGAGACCCTATCTCAAAAAAAAAAAAGACAGAGAGAATACAAACTACCAATGTCAGAAACTACACAGAAGATATCACTACAGACTTTCCAGCAATTTAGAGATGATCATAAAGGAATGTTATGAAAAACTTCATGTCCATAAATTTGACAACTTAAATGAAGTGAAATTCTTTGAGAGACATAACTTAATAAAACACTGTTAAGAAATAAATAACCTGAATAGTCCAATATCAAAGTTTATGAGTTCATAGTTTATGACTTTCAAAAAAGAAAATTCCAGACTGAGATGGCTTAATTAGTGAATTCTACTAAACATTTAAGGAAGAAACAACATTGATTCTACAGAGACTCTTCCTGAATATAGAAGAAAATGGGACATGTCCCAACTCATGCTATGAGACCAGCATTATCCTGATACCAAACCTGTGTTGCAGGAAGTCAGGGACCCTGAACGGAGGGACCGGCTGGAGGCGCGGCAGAGGAACATAAATTGTGAAGATTTCATTTTAATATGGACACATACAGTTCCCAAAATTAATACTTTTATAATTTCGTATGCCTGTCTTTACTGCAATCTCTGAACATAAATTGTGAAGATTTCATGGACATTTATCAGTTCCCAAATAATACTCTTACAATTTCTTTTCTTTTTTTTTTTGAGACAGAGTCTTGCTCTGTTACCCAGGCTGGAGTACAGTGGTGCAATCTCAGCTCACTGCAAGCTCACACCATTCTCCTGCCTCAGCCTCCCAAGTAGCTGGGACTACAGGTGCCTGCCACCACACCCAGCTAATTTTTTTTTTTTATTTTTAGTACAGACGGGGTTTCACCGTGTTAGCCAGGATGGTTTCGATCTCCTGACCTCGTGATCCGCCCGCCTCGGCCTCCCAAATTGCTGGGATTACAGGCATAAGCCACCACGCCCAGTGTACTCTTATAACTTCTTACGCCTGTCTTACTTTAATCTCTTAATCTTGTTATCTTCCTAAGCTGAGGATGTACATCACCTCAGGACCACTGTGATAATTGTATCTAACTGTATAAATTGATTGTAAAACATGTGTGTTTGAACAATATGAAATCAGTGCACCTTGAAAAAGAACAGAATAACAGCAATTTTAGGGAACAAGGGAAGACAACCATAAGGTGTGACTGCCTAAGGAGTTGGGCAGAATACAGCCATATTTTTCTTGTTGCAGAGAGTCTATAAATGGATGTGCAAGTAGGGAAGATATCGCTAAATTCTTTTCCCAGCAATGAATATTTAAGACCCTGGGAAAGGAATGCATTCCTTGGGGGAGGTCTATAAATGGCCACTCTGGAAGTGTCTGTCTTATGTGGTTGAGATAAGGACTGAAATATGCCCTGGTCTCCTGCAGTACCCTCAGGGTTATTAGGGTGGGGAAAAAACCCCACCCTGGTGAATTTGAGGTCAGACCGGTTCTCTGCTCTCAAACCCTGTTTTCTGTTGTTTAAGATGTTTATCAAGACAATACGTGCACTGCTGAACACAGACCCTTATCAGGAGTTTTTGATTTCGCCCTTGGCCTTGTGATCTTTGCTTTGCCCTTTGCCTTGTGGTCTTTACTGGCCTCAGAAGCATGTGATCTTTGTTCTCCTTTTTGCTGTTTGAAGCATGTGATCTTTGTGACCTACTCCCTCTTCGTACACCCCCTCCCCTTTTAAAGTCCTTAATAAAAACCTGCTGCTTTTGCGGCTCAGGCGGGCATCACGGTCCTACTGATAGGTGATGTCATCCCTGGAGGCCCAGCTGTAAAATTCCACTCTTTGTACTCTTTCTCTGTATTTCTCAGCTGGCTGACACTTAGGGAAAATAGAAAGAACCTACTTTGAAATATTGGGGGCGGGTTCCCCCGATAAACCTGAAGTTATTATTAGAGAGGAAAAGAAAACTACAGACCAGTATCCTTGCAGGTAGTTGGTAAAAAACCATAAATATAAAATTTAAAAAATAAAATTAAAAAAACTACAGACCAATATCCCTTATTAATATAGATGTAAATGTGCAGTGGCTCACACTTACAATCCCAGAGCTTTGGGAGGCCAAGGTAGGAAGACTCCTTGGGCCCAGTGGCTCCAGACGAGACTGGGAAACACAGCAAGAGCCCATATCCACTAAACATGAAAATAAATGAACCAGGTGTGGTGGCTCTCACCTGTAATCCTAGCTAACTGGGAGGCTGAGGCAGGAGGACTGCTTAAGCCAAGTCATTTAAGGCTGTATAGTGAGCTATGATTGTGCCACTATACTCCAGCCTGGATGACAGAGTAACACCCTGTCTCTAAAAAAATAAAAATACATAGATGTAAAATCATCAACAAAATATGAGCAACTCAAACCCAGCAAAATGTAAAAAGGGTAATAAATCATCACCAAGTGAGGTTCATCTCAAGAATGCAAGGCTGATTTGACATTCAAAAAAAATCAATCAATGTAACTCATAATATCAACAGAGTAAAGAAGAAAAGCCACATGATTGTATCAACTGGTGCAGGAAAGACAGTTAACAAAATTCAACATCCATCCATGATTAAAAAAAAAAAAAACTCTTAGAAAACTAGGTATAGAAGGGAATTTTCTTAATTTTATAAAGCATACCTACCCAAAAACTCCACAATTAATATTTTTAACAGTGGAAGACAATGTTTTCCCTCTAAGATCAGAAACAAGACAAGGATGTCTACTCTCACCACTCTTATTCAACATCATGCCCCAGACAGTGTGATAATATTAACATTAAAGATGTAATAGGCCAGGTGCAGTGGCTCATGCCTGTAATCCCAACACTTTGGGAGGCTGAGGCGGGTGGATCACTTGAGGTCAGGAGTTTGAGACTAGCCTGGCTAACATGGCGAAACTTGTCTCTACTAAAAATACAAAAATTAGCCGGGCATGATGGCAGGTGCCTGTAATCCCAGCTACTCTGGAGGCTGAGGCAGGAGAATTGCTTGAACCCAGGAGGCAGAGGTTGCAGTGAGCCAAGATTGTGTCACTGCACTCCAGCCTGGGCAACGGAGAGAGACTCTGTCTCAAAAATAAAAACATGCAATAAACAAAAGATATATGTTGTAATGCCTAAAATGCACAAGCACACACACATACACACAGGTAAATGTAGGCAACTGAAAAGATACACATGTAAGCTTGAACCACAAGCAAGCTAAATACACCTATTTTCTCCTGTATTAATACAGTCTTTATTAGGCTAGAACACAGTGGTGCCAACCTGGCTCACTGCAGCCTTCACCTCCTGGGCTCAAGTGATTCCCCCACCTCAGCCCCACCAAGTAGGTGGGACTACAGGTGTACAACACCACACCCAACTAATTTTTGTATTTTTTGTAGACACGGGGTTTCACTAAGTTGCCCAGGCTGGTCTTGAACTCCTGAGCTCAAGCGATTTGCCATCCCGGCCTCCAAAAGAGCTAGACTTATAGGCATGAGTGACTGTACTTGGCCAATAGTTTTTAATAGAGAAAATCTGAAGTAAAGTATCAATCACCTCAGCTTATTAACATGTATAGAAATCTATATTCAATAACTACAGAATAGGCCAGGTACAGTGACTCATGTCTATAATCCCAGCACTTTGGGAGGCCAAGGCAGGAGGATTGCTTGAGTCCAGGAGCTCAAGACCAGCCCGGGCAACATACTGAGATCCCATCTCTAAAACAATAAAATAAAAAAAAACTATAGAATATATATTCTTCACAAGTACACGTGAAAAATTAAACAGGATAGATCATATTCTAAACCATAAATAAAATAATCTCAGCCAGGTGCAGTGGCTCACGCTTGTAATCCCAGCACTTTGGGAGGCTGAAGCAGGAGGATTGCTTGAAACTGGGAGTTCAAGACCAATCTGGGCAACACAGCAAGACTCTGTCTCTACAAAAATAAAAATAAAAAATGTGCCAGGTGTGGTGGCATGTGGCTGAAGTCCTAGCTCCTCATAAGGTTGAGGCGGGGAGACTGCTTGAACACAGGAGTTCGAGGTGGCAGTGAGCTATGATCATATCACTGCACTCCAGCCTGGGTGACAGAGGGACACCTTGTCTCTTTCTTTCTTTTTTTTTTTTTTTTTGAGACAGAGTTTCGCTCTTGTCGCCCAGGCTGGAATGCAGTGGCACAATCTCAGCTCACTACAAACTCCACCTCCTGAATTCAAGCAATTCTCCTGCCTCAGCCTCCAGAGTAGCTGGGATTAAAAGTGCCCGCCACCATACCTGGTTAATTTTTGTATTTTTAGTAGAGACAGGTCTCGCCATGTTGGCCAGGGTGGTCTCAAACTCCTGACCTAAGGTGATCCACCCACCTCGGCCTCCCAAAGTGCTGGGATTACAGGCATGAGCCACTGCACCCGACCAAGACCCTGTCTCTTAAAAAACTTTTTTAGGCCGGGCGTGGTGGCTCACGCCTGTAATCCCAGCACTTTGGGAGGCCAGGGCAGGCAGATTACAAGGTCAAGAGATCAAAACCATCCTGGCCAACATGGTGAAACCCCATCTCCACTAAAAATACAAAAATTAGCTGGGTGTGGTGGCGTGCACCTGTAGTCCCAACTACTCAGGAGGCTGAGGCAGGGTAATAGCTTGAACCCAGGAAGCCGAGGTTGCTCTGCTGAGATTGCGCCACTGCACTCCAGCCTGGGCAACAGAGCAAGACTCTGTCTCAAAAAAAAAAAACAAAAAACAAAAAACAAAAAAAAAATTTTAACCTAAATGATAATTAAAATGCAAAGTGTCAAAATTTGTGAAGAGCAGCTAAAGTTGTACTTAGAAATTTATATCTTTGAATGTTTACATTAGAAGGAAAAAAAGGTTAAAAAACAGTCATCTAAGTTTCCGCCTAACAATATGAGCAAACTAAATCCACAATAAGTAGAAAAAGGAAATAACAAAGAACAGAAAACAATGAAATAGAAACAAACATTAAAGAAAATTACCAAAGCCAACATGACCAAGTAAGGTTTATCCCAAAAAAGCAACGTTGATTTACTATTGGAAAATGCAATGTAATCTACCACATAACAGTTCATAAAGTGAGAAACTATATGATTATCTCAATAATTACCAGAAAAAACAAAAAGCATTTGACAAAATTTGTCCCCATTCAGGATAAAAACCCTCGGGAAACCAGAAACCAAAGGGAGCTTTCTCAATCTGATAAAGGGAACTACAAAAAAATGTAAAGTTAACATCATACTTAATGGTCAGAGACTGGTCCTAAGATCAGGAACAAATGGCAAGGAGGCGTGCTATCTCACTTTTGCTCAGCCTGGAACTGCCTGTCCTCACCAGAGCAATAAGGGGGAAAAAATACATAAATGATACAAAACTACAACAACAAAAATTGTTCCTATTTATAGTTAATACATTGCTAACATCAAAAATTGTAAGGGAGGAAACCCTAGTAGAATAAATAAGTTTAGCTAGGTCTCAGAAGACAAGGTTAATATACAAAAATTATTTCTACCTACTAGCAGTGTATTTTTACATACTAGCAGCAAACAACTGGAAAACTTTAACCATAATTCCACTGACAATGGCATCAAAAAATAAAAGACTTAGGAAAACATTTAACAAAAAACATGCAAGATCTGGCTGGGCACGGCGGCTCATGCCTGTAATCCTGGCACTTTGGGAGGTCGAGGCAGGAGGATCGCCTAAGGCCAGGAGTTCAAAACCCACCTGGACTCTGTCTCAACAAAAAATAAAAAATTAGCCAAGTGTAGTGGCGCATACTTGGGAGTCCCAGCTACTTGGGAGATTAAGGCAGAAGGATCATTTGAGCCCAGGAGTTCAAGCCTGCTGTGAGCTATGATTCTGCCACTGCACTCCAGCCTGAGTGACAGAGCAAGACTGTCTCAAAACAAAACAAAAAAAAAAAAGAGAGAGAAAAGAAAACAGAAGAAAAAATGCAAGATCTATACATTTTTGCTGAGAAAAATTATGCATCACCTCAATAAATGGAGAAACATACATTATGTTCATGGATTGAAAGACTTGATACTGTTAGATGTCAATTATCTCCAAATCATCTATAGAGTAAATGCAATCCCAATCATAAACCCATCAGGCTTTTTTGAAGAAACTGAGAAGCTGACTCTAAAATTTATATGGATCTGTCTTTGAGCCTCCCCCTGCCAAAAAATAAATAAATTTATATGGAAATATAAAAGCCTTAAAATAGCCAAAATCATTTTGAAAAGGAAGAACAAAGCAGGAATGCTTACAATAACAATACTGTCTGATTTCAATATTTATTACAGAGGTACATAATCCAGGCAACTGAATACCCATATGGGGCAAAAAAAAAAAAAAAGGATATTGATCCCCTATCTCACATCATATATAAAAATTAATTTCAGATGAATCATAATCCTAAAAGTGAAGGCTTCTAGAACACAGGAGAATATTTTTATGACCTAGGGGGTATTTAAAGATTTCTTAGAAAGGACATCTGTTGGTGAGGATATGCAGCAACCATAACTAATATTTTGTTGATGGGGGTGTAAAATGGTAGAGTATTTTGGAGAAAGGGTTAGTATTTTTTATAAACATTCACCTACCCTTGACCCAGTAATTTCACCCCTAGGTATTTATCCAAGAACAATGAAAACATATATCCACAAAAATTACTGTACAAGAATATTGACAGCAGCTTTATTTATAATAGCTAAAATCTGGAAGAAACCAAAATACCCATCTTTGAACAAGATAACGGAAAAACAAATTGTGATATAAGTATTCAATGGAATACTCAGCAATTCAAAGGAATAAATTACTATCACATACAACACGAATCTCACAGACATAATGCTGAGCAGATGCCAAATACAGAGGAGTACATACCATATAATTCCATTCAATACACGAAGCTCTAGAATTGGCCAAACTAATCTAGTATTTAAAAAAAAAACAATTAGAAAACTAGTTGCCTGGGGTGGGCAGGAGACTGGCACAGGACAGGAGGGAACGTCTGGAGATGTGGGAACGTTCTATGTTGTGATGGGTTGTATGCTTTATGTGGATGTGCATGGATACATTTGTGGCATTTCAATATATGTAAATTTTACCAAAAAACTTCAAAAGAACAGTAACTCAAGTAGGGGGCTGCGGAATGGCTGAAAGTATATGAAACAAGAATGGCGGAACCTTAAAGCTAGGTGTTAAAGCTAGGTGATGGGTCCATGCGGGTTCATTAAATTATTCTGATGTTGTTTGTACCGGCGTAATAAAAGGTAAAAACAAAACTTACAGGCTTTAGTTGAGAACCAGTTAAAAAGTAAAACTGTTTTGTAGCTCCCCAACACCACCAAAACCAAAAAAGTTATGTAATTTCCTGTAGCATTGAACAGAGGTATAGTCATTAGCGTAACTACAGTGAACACTGTAGCTCCTGGCTATACTCCGTGTCCAGGTTAAAACAAGGAGAATAGTGAGGACGACAGGGTATTTATATACTCTATGAGGAACTAGCGAAACGTATTAGGGACCAGGACTCTTTCTCTTATTTTAATCCAAATTAAAAGAGAGAAGTGCAGGGTTTTGTGGGAAATTTTTTTTAAAGAATTCAGCGAAAATGCAGCATGATAAAAGCTGCAAAAAAGCTATAAACTCCGAAGTTAATATTTTGGCTCACTTGGTTATGAAGAGTATGCATGTAACATTTTGGGAAATTACCATAAAAATGAGTGTCTTTAGATTTCTGGGCTGAATTGAACATGTGTAGGTGTATCAGCATGCAGCCCTGCCCCAGGTACTCTCCCTTTCTCAAAGAATATGGATTATCGTGGACCCACCTCTGACCTAAATACTGTGAAGGAATCAAAGTATGAAACACAAACCTTATCCCACGGAACCTTATAATCTAACTGCAAAGGCAAGATACGCCTAAAAAATAAGCCATTATCCCATAGCAGTACTTGGTTAAATGCCAGGAGGGAGTACAGACACGATGTACTTTTTAATGAAAAGAATATTGCGCTGTGGTGGTTTCAGCAGGCTGCCTTGAGGTTAGGGAATTTGAAATGAGACAAAGAATTTAAGCAGAGAGAAAAATGGGATGGGAGGCGGGCAGGCACTTCCAGAGCAGAGGAACCGGGTAAAGCAAACAAAGTGACGACATAACGTGAAAAGAAACCTGAATTTTGTCTCCAGTGAGCCCCCAACGTCCCACCAACGCCTCTATCTGGCTCTCCGTTCAATGTCTTCCCGAAACTTCAGGTCAGCGGTTCCTAAAGTGGTCCCCGGACAAGCATATCTCACCAACCAGCTGGGAACGTAAACTGTCAACTCTGGGGACTCATCCCAGACCTACTGAGTCACTAAGTGGGGGACTGAGGGCGGCAATCCGTGTTGTACCATGTGCGTCGGGTGACTGTGATGCACGCTCAAGTTTGAAAACCACTCCTCGAGGGCTACTGCTAAGCACAACCCTCCGCACAGAAGTGATACTGTTCTGAGCGCCTAACAGCCAACTTGCAGGGTGTAGGGAGCTGAGAGCGGGTCCCAGGCCTGTAAGAGTCAGGCTCTGCCCCAATTTCGCTTTCTCATCCAGGACACCTTCTCCCAGTCACTATCTCCTACGCCTGCTCCTTCTGGGTGACTTTACCCTGAGAGGGCCCGCTCCCGCCCATGTCGCCCTACCTCAGTGTCAGAGGGGACGTGGTGCCGGCAGGGAGGGGAACTGCCCAAGGAGACGGGAGTAGATGTGGCGCTGGCCCGGAGCCCGCCCAACAGGAGTAAAACGCTTCGGACCCACACAGACCCGCTCCAGCGCCACCGGCTCCGGCCCGGGCCTGAGCCCGAGTAACCCACTCCTCCGCCCCATTCGGCCGCCATCTTCGGGCCGAGCGTCGTTACCATGGAGTGCGTGACGCCTCTGCGCCCGCGCCGGCCCCGCCCCTCGCCGCTGGGGGTAGACGGAGGGCCCAGCCGGCGGAAAGGCGCTTTCCGATTGGACAGCGTCACCCGCTAGAAGTTCGCCGCAGAAGATGAGGGCGGCGATCACGTCCATCGCGTCTCGTGGCGCGAAGCCGGCCAATAAATGCTGTTTGGAGGCCCACGTGAGTGGGGCTGTGGGAGGAAGAAAGGCTAGCGGGCGTTGGCCGTATGTGGGTGTCTTGAGGCAGTTTTTCAGTTCTTTCATTTACCAAAGTGACATGCACCTACTAGGTGCCAGGTGTTTAGACGTACATACAACCCTCTGCAAAATCTTTCAGTGTAGTCCTCTGTATGAAAAGGTGAGTGGAATACTTTCATTTACTTATCCTGAGTCACCAACTTTAGGCCCATTACTTAACTAACGCCATTTCCTATAAAAATCTATGATACACCGTTTACTGTTTTACTCAACTCCATCTTTTAGTTTCCAGCCAAGAATTGCCACTGCACCTGAGATAAGGGGGATCCTGGCCATTAAGGAAACCTTGCCTTCGAAACTGAGCCGTGAGGAACTATACAAAATGGGAAATTGGGACAAATCCCAGTGGCTCATGACACTAAGAAGTAAAATTACGAACTCACTGAGCTGGAAGTCATTCAACGGGAATTGAATAGGTAAGCTACTATACTGGGAAATGAAGGAGTAGGAAAGAAGGAAAACCTCAAGTTACAAACTATGGGTGGAGATTCAGCTACGAGGATGGGGTGGTGTTTTAAGTATTACCATTTTACAAGTAAATACTCACTAAATGTGTGTATCATCCCACAACTAGTGGAAGGTGGGATTCCAAACCACATTTGTAACTTAGGAAACGTGCCCTTTCCACTACAATACCACAAATAAATTGCTATTGTGAATAAAGAATGGAACCAGTCATCCTAAGCTCCTGGCTGTAACAATAGTGTTATGCTGAGGAAAGGCTGTTTCTTTTTTTTTTGAGACGGAGTTTCACTCGTCGCCCAGGCTGGAGTGCAGTGACACAATCTCGGCTCAATGCAACCTCTGCCTCCCGGGATCAAGCTATTCCCCTGCCTCAGCCTCCCGAGTAGCCGGGATTACAGGCACCCGCCACCACGCCCGGCCAATTTTTATGTTTTTAGTAGAGACGTAGTTTCACCACGTTGGCCAGGCTGGTCTCAACCTCATGACCTCAGGTGATCCGCCCGCCTCCGCCTCCCAAAGTGTTGGGATTACAGGCGTGAGCCACCGCGCCCAGCCAGGAGGCAAAGCTGTTTCAATGGTGTAGTGGACAAGTTACCAGCCACGCAAGCCCTTTCCTGTAAACCACAGGACTCCTCCTTTGGCAACGGTGACTTGAGTACTTTTGACTTAATTTCCATATGGGAGGAGAAAAACATAAAAACATACATTTATTATTTACAAATGCTGCATCATCTCAGTAAGGAAGAGCATGTATTTGCTTTTGAGTCTCATTTGCCATTGCACATGTAAGTTACTCGAGTTAAAGTCTCAACCGTTTGTTTTCCCCCGCTTTGCTCAGATGCCTACCACTTACCGTGTGTCTGTTCCACTCAGAATACCATCCACTTCTCCATATGCCTAACCCAGACCTGAAATACCCATCTGTCTTCATGGATATGTCCACAGGTTAACATCTTACAGCTTCCTCAAATTCAACTTTAGCTCCTCCCACAAAACCATCTCCTGATTCCCCAACTTTGTAAATGCACCATTATCCATCCAGCCCCCAAAGCCAGAAACATGTTAGAATTCTCCATTTGAGACTGAAAAGCCCACCTAATTTTCCCTTGTTTATGCTGGGATGCCATTGGGATTTGAAATAATCTGAGCTGGTGGCTCATATCTGTAATCCCAGTACTTTAGGAGAACAAGGCAGGGGGATCACTTGAGGCCAGGAATCGAGACCAGCCTGGGACCCCGAAAAAACATTTTAATTGGCTGGACGTGCCTGGCATGCACCAGATTCTCTGGAGGTTGTGGGCAGGGGATTGTCTGAGCCTAGAAGTTCAAAGGTGCAGTGAGCTATGATCACACCACTGCACTACAGGCTGGGCAACAGAAACCCTGTCTCAAATGAGTAAATTTTAAAATTTCCTGTGAATCAAGTTCTTCAGTGACGTTGTATTACACTCAAGAACAATCTTAAGCCTAAGATCCTCAGTTCAGTACAGGAGACCTCTCATGTGGCATTTTAGTTTTCTGGACTTTCCAGTCAGCCACTTGTGTTCCTAAAATCTTCCTGCCATTTCCTCTTTGAGATGCCGCCCTATTTCTTCCTCTACACTTTACGGTTTTATGTTACGCAGCCAGTATACCTACATGCCTCTATCCCTGAATACCCCGAGTACTACTGATCACATCTACTTAACTGGCACAATGAACACAGTAGGTACTTTTAGCTTATGTTGGCCTTTTGGAGTGGGTGTCCAAGATCAGCACTTCCTCGCGCTGACTGCGTAATTCCCAAGTTCAATTTCATTAGCATTCTAATATACAACTTCCAACTTCCGGCCTTGAAGTACTGCTCACTTCTGGTGAATACAGCATCAGTGCACTTTGTTTGCCTTAAAACCACAATCCTGGGAGGCTGAGACAGAATGGCGTGAACCCGGGAGGCGGAGCGTGCAGTGAGCCAAGATTGCGCCACTGCACTCCAGCCTAGACGACAGAGCAAGACTGTCTCAAAAAAAAAAAAAAAAAAACCACCACAATCCTAATAAATGAGCCTGGCAGAGTACTAACACAAGCCCATGTCCACGAAGCACGGGACTCCAACAATGGCAGCTTTGGCTTGCATACCACCATTGGACTGACCAAACCTTTCTTAGAACTGCCAGTGTGACAGAGGGACCTCTGGGGGAGGGCGTCTTGCTTTCTCTTGGGTCAGTATATCTCACTACCCTCTTTGTAGGTTAGCAGATTTGTAACAGGATGTTACTGGAGGAAGGGGAAGTGGGAAAGCTGGACAGTATTCCCACTCTTTTCCCTTACTACAAAAACTTTCCTTCTCAGTCCTGTCTCCAGGAGATGGAAGACCAAATAACACAACAGCCAGTGTGCTTTTCCTACCCAATCCTTTCTTTCACCCTCTTATCCTAATACATTTCCAGCATGTTAATTCTTTTGCAGCATAGACAAGAGAACCCATACACGCTGCAAAACTGCAAAAGGGCTTAGGTGGCAAACTCCCAGTTTCTTGTTGACATTTTCAGTGCAATTTAAAGATGTTAATTTAAAAAACTACCTGTGCTGTAGAGATCAGTAACCCTCAGGGGGCAGACAAAAAGACTGTTACTGCATCAGTTAGAAATGTAGTACTACCTGGGCAACATAGTGAGGCCCATCTCCACAAATAACTAAAAAGTTAACTGGTTGTGGCTGCACATGCCTGTGGCCCCAGCTATTTAGGAGGCTGAGGCAGGAGGTTTGCCTGAGCCGAGGAGGTTGAGGTTGAGGTTGCAGTAAGCTGTAATCACGCCACTGCACTCCAGCCCAAGCAACAAAACAAGACCTTGTCTTCAAAAAAAAAAAAAAAACCATACAGCAAAACTGATGCCTTAGTTGTTTTATTTTAGCATATCCCCAAGAAATCTAAAATATTTAGGAGGCCTGCTTAAAGTGCAATCTTGAACTTTACCAGATTAAAACATGAAGCCAAAGAAAGCTGCCACCTTTCCGTGCACTATTCCCAACCTCCATGTACCTACCATAGGATTGCTTTTTATGAGTGGAGTAATATGGCTTAATTTTATTTTAATATACTGGAATGCTTTGTCCAGTCACAAGTCCCAAGAGCTTCTCATCCCAGTCTATCCAAATGAACTGCCAAAGCCCATCAACATAATCTCCATTCAAATTTTAAGTTTCCCAATCTGCATTGAACAAATGCATAGTATCACAAAGCACTTGGCAGGTGTGGTGGCTCATAACTGTATCCCAGCACTTCAGGAGAGGCCAAGGAAGGAGGATTGCTTGAGCCCAGGAGTTTGAAGCCAGCATAGGCAAGAGTCAGACCCTCTCTACAAAAAATTTAAAAATGACCCAGGGATGGTGGCATGAGCCTGTGGTCCCAGCTACTTCAAAGGCCAAGGGAGGATTGCTTGAGCCTTTGAATGTGAGGCTGCAGCGAGCACCACTACACTCCAGCATGGGCAACAGAGCAAGACTCTGTCAAAGATACTCGCATTAAAACCCGTTCCCTTCTAAATCTCTGTACTCGCCCTGTAATTTTCATCACATGTCTCTCTGACCCCCTTGTACTCCAAAAATGCTGAGCAACCTCTATCATTTTAAGCATGTAGCAAATCAATTTAAGGTAGTAAGTTTTTTAATCCACTTAAAAATACAAGAGCACAAATCCACATTTATTTATTGATTTTTCGTTAGTTTAAATCCTTGAGGGGTACAGCATCTGCAGGGAAAAAAGAACACAAAACATTAGGTGAATGTTATATATACGTCTACAAATCAAGAACCGTAATACGGATAAATCTCTGAAAGGCTACCAATTACATGTTCTAGTGGTAAGGAAAGTTTTTATAGCCTTCAGTCTCTACGTGAACATACCGTAAGAACCGGCACTCATAAAAAACATGTACTGGCCAGGTGCTGTGGCTCACACCTGTAATCCCATCACTTTGGGAGGCCTAGGCGGGCAGATCCTAAGGTCAAGAGATAGAGACCATCCTGGCCAACATGGTAAAACCCTGTCTCTACTAAAAAATACAAAAATCAGCTGGGCATGGTGGTACGTGCCTATAGTCCCAGCTACGCAGGAGGCTGAGGCAGGAGAATCGCTTGAACCTGGGAGCTTGCAGTGAGGCAAGATCCCACCACTGCACTCCAGCCTGGTGACAGAATGAGACTCTGGTCTCAAAAAAAAAAAAAGAAAAAGAAAAACATGTACTGAAGGTACATTTAATTTTGCTTCTTCTAAAGACAGAGTAAAAGCCTCCTCTGTTGATAAACCCTAATGAACCACTTAGCAGGGTTCAACAGTACCCCCTGGCCCCAAGAATACATGGTATGCATATATTCTTGGTCCCAAGAATATACAGTCTACATTCCAAAATGGACCCTAAAGAAAAAGTACGAACTATTTGAGAAAAATTACAGGAGAAAATTGAGAAAAATTTAGAGTCCAAGGCTGGCACCAAAGACCTGAGACCTAGGAACATGAGAGTCTGTTTTCTTCATGTACAAAATAAAGCTACTAACACCTGTTCTAACAAGACTGACATGATGGAAATGGCAAAATATTAACAATTATGCCAGGCGTAACTGTTGAATTGTTGCTTTCTAACAATTACTTCAGTGCCCAATAAATATCTTCACCAGAAAACTATTTATTCAAGGCTGGCTGTGGTGGCTCAAGCATATAATCCCAGCACTCTGGGAGGCCAAGGTGGGCAGATCACTTGGGCTCAGGAGTTCAAGACCAGCCTGGGCAACATGGAGAAACAAAATACAAAAATACAAAAAATTATCTGGGCATGGTGGTATATACGCCTGTAATTCCAGCTACTCGGGAGGCTGAGGCACAAGAATCACATGAACTTTGGAGGCAAAGGTAGCAGCAAGCTGAGATCATGCCACTGCACTCCAGCCTGCGTGACAAAGTGAGACCTTGTCTCAAAAAAACACAACAAAAACCCCAAAAATTAGCTGGGTGTGGTGGCACACGCCTATGGTCCCAGCTACTTGGGGGGCTGAGGTGGAAGGATTGCTTGAACCCAGGAGGTCGAGGCTGCAATAAGCTGTGATTATGCCACTGCACCCCAGCCTGGGTGACAAAGTGAGACCCTGTCTCCCCCCAAAAAAAAAACAAAAAACAAACAACCAAACACCTAATTCTTTCAATTACTATCTCTCCAGTGTTCTGCAATACACAAATTTTGCAGCATAATTTACTGGTGTCAATTTCACAACCACAGAAGTCCTCAGAAGTCAAAGCACAACACCTTGAACCTAGTCTGATTCATCAGACGTCCATTTTGCTAAAAACCATACTCACCACTCGGATTCTGTGTCCAATGGCCTTAGCAGGAAGATTGCTTCGGAATTTGGCACGAACCATGCCACTGTTTCCATGGGCCCGAGTTACTTTTCCCCAGATGACTCTGGTTTTGTTTGGTTTGCCGCCAGGAGTGACTGTGTTGCTGATTTTAAAAAGGGAAAGAAGAGGAATACAAGCTGATATAGTTGGATACAAATTCAAGGTGACCTCTACACGAGTGGCTCTCAACCCTGGTTACCCACTTCATCACCTGAGAAACTTTAAATGCCTAGAACACCATTCATTCAACAGATACTTATCGAGTAACTATTGTATGCCAGGCCCTTCTGTAAAATACAGCAGCTATAAAACAAAAATCTTTCACATGATAACCAAGTAAGTTTAAGGAAAATACATAGGTCAGATGATAACAGAGGCAATATTGAAAAAATAGCAAAAAAGGACAAGTGTGAGGATATTTGTGTGTACAGAAAGGAGGAATTACCTGCCATTTTAAATAGCCAAGGAAGGTCTCACTGAGGTGACCATGGAACAAAGACTGGAAAGGGAGGGGAAATGCCATGAAGTGATCACGGGATGACTAGCGCAGGCACTGGGGCCAAGGAGTGTGTGTCCTGGCCGGAAGAAAGACTGAAGACACCAAGGGGTTAATCCCAGCTGAGATAAAGAGAATTATGGAGCTCTTAATGACGGGCTTTTACTGAATGAGAGAAACTACTGTGGTTCGAGCAATGTACAAAGGATATGACTTTATATATATTTCCTTTAAAGACCACGGGGTTGTCTTGTCACCCAGGCTGCAGTACAGTGGCCCAATCATAGCTCACTGCAGCCTCTATCTCCTGGCATCAAGCAATCCTCCCACCTAGGGCTCTCAAATGCTGGGGCTACAAGTGTGAGCCACTGCACCTGACTTAAAATTTTAAAGGAACACATTGGCTGTAGAAGAAAAGGTGGGGCAATGATTAAAACACTTTCCCAGAGATTTTAATTGGCTTGGAGTGGGTGAAGACAATAGGATTTGCTCTTGTTGTCCAGGCTAAGGTGCAATGGCACGATGGCTCACGCCTGTAATCCCAGCACTTTGGGAGGCTGGGGCGGGTGGATCACGAGGTCAGGAGTTCGAGACCAGCCTGGCCAACATGGTGAAACCCTGTCTCTACTAAAAATACAAAAGTTAGCCGGGTGTGGTGGTGCGCGCCTGTAATCCCAGCTACTGGGGAAGCTGAGGTTGCAGTGAGCTGAGATCACACCACTGCACTCCAGCCTGGGCAACAGAGCAACACTTTGTCTCAAAAAAAAAAAAAAGTCTACAGCATAAACATCTTTAGGCATGCATAAAAACTAATTTTGGCCTGGTGCAGTGACTTGCGCTATAATCCCAGCACTCTGGGAGGCCGAGGCAGGTGGATTACTTGAGGTCAGGAGTTCAAGACCAGAGTGACCAACACTGTGAAACCCCGTTTCTACTAAAAACATAAAATTAGCTGGGTGTGGTGGCACACGCCTGTAATCCCACCTCACTCGGAGGCTGAGGCAGGATAATCGCTTGAACCCGGGAAGCAGAGATTACAGTGAGCTGAGATTGTGCCATTGCACTTTAGCCTGGATAACAAGAGCAAAACTCTGTCTCAAAAAAGAAAGAAAAAAAGAAAAGAAAGAAAAGAAAAAACAAGGGGCGGGGCACCGTGGCTCCTGCCTGTAATCCCAGCACTTTGGGAGGCTGAGGTGGGTGGATCACAAGTTCAGGAGTTTAAGACCAGCCTGGCCAAAATGGTGAAACCCCATCTCTACTAAATATACAAAAATTAGACAGGCATGGTGGCGGCCGCCTGTAATCCCAGCTACTCAGGAGGCTAAGGCAGGAGAATCCCTTGAACCCGGGAGGCGGAGGTTGCGGTGAGCCGATATTGTGCTACTGCACTCCAGCCTAGGTGACAGTGAGACTCCGTCTCCAAAAAAAAAAAAAAAAAAAAAAAAAACCCATAATTTTAAGGCATTAACAAAATGCATTAAGCACAAGTGTTCTAAAAATCCTTAAATTCTGGCAAAAGGAGCCGAGAAAAAAAATTAGAAACCTTAAAAGGATCACAATATAAGGAATTACCTCCTTTATTGCTTACAAGTGCAAAAGGTACCTAAATCCAACACCACCCTCAGAAGTAACGTCCTTCTAAAACTCCCCATTAAGTTCCTTAATGACGCAAAATAGAAGCCACAGCAATACCAATCCAGCCTGGCCAACATGGGGAAACCCATTCTCTAGTAAAAATACAAAAATTAGCCGGGCGTGGTGGCACACCCCTGTAAGCCCAGCTACTCAGGAGGCTGAGGCAGGAGAATCGCTTGAGCCAGGAGGCAGAGGCTGCAGCGAGCCAAGATCGCGCTACTGCCCTCCAACCTGGGCAACAGAGACTCTTGTCACAAAAACAAAAAAACAATACCAAGTACTTCAGCTAAATCTTTTGTTTATTATTTCAATAGGATAATGAGGCCAGGCGCGGTGGCTCAAGCCTGTAATCTCAGCACTTTGGGAGGCCGAGGTGGGCGGATCACCTAAGGTCAGGAGTTTGGGACCAGCCTGGCCAACATGGCAATACCCTGTCTCTACTAATAATACAAAAACTAGCCGGGCGTGGTGGCCGGCGCCTGTAATCCCAGCTACTCGGGAGGCTGAGACAGGACACTTGCTTGAACCCGGGAGGCGGAGGTTTCGGTGAGGGAGACCAAGTCACTGCATTCCAGCCTCGGCAACAGAGCAAGACTCCGTTATATAAAAAAGAAAATGAGGCAGATCTCAAAAACCCAAAACCTACCAGTGTCATAAACTTACTTCTTTGCTTTATATACATAAGCGCATCTCTTGCCCAAATAGAATTCTGTTTCATCTCGGGCGTAAACACCTTCAATTTTAAGAAGAGCTGTGTGCTCCCTTTGGTTCCGGAGACCCCGCTTATAGCCAGCAAAAATGGCCTTGGACCACAGCCTAAGACACAAAAGATACACAACATGAAACATAAGCTTCAAAAAACCAATCTGACTTGTAATCACCCCCACCCAAAAGTTACTCAGAGCAAACATCTAAGTTTTTTCTTGCCAATTTTAAGCTCGCATTTACGTTCACGTCTAACACACAAAAATAAAGAACTATATTTAAAACGCGTACCTTCCAGACATAGTTCCTTTTAGAAGTCCCGTTCCCAGCAGGCCTTAAAACAAACAAAAAGATTAGTTTAAAACCAAGCCACACAAGTTTCCCACCTCGTCCCCTCTCGTTTAAGCCCCTAAAGCAAATTCCTTTTGGATGGGAGTTTCATGTAGGAGTTCGGGGACAACAATGCCAGAACATCCATATGAAACGCAGGGTCCGGCAAGACATTCAAACCTCAGAGAACAGCTGGTATCTAAGCAAACTTCAGAATGAAGACAAAACTAAGGGACAGGAGTCACAAAAATGACTCTCAGAAAAGCCTGAGAAAATGCATGCCGTTATCAGTAGGCAACACTCAGGAAAAGAAATGAAGCCTTAAAGAGAAACACACACGTAAGACTTTTATGCAATGGCTGGGGGAGAAAAGCTGAGGAAAGAGACTGGTCAGACAAGCCAAGGAAGGTATGGACTGGGAGGAAACGGATGAAGGAAGCACTGCCTCATGGACAACTGCACACGAACAAAAACATCGTTTCACTCCGTTCAGGCCCAGGAATTTAACTGGGATAACCCGGGCAGCCGTTCTCCGGGTGTCAGGGGACCAAACACCATCAGCCCAACATCTCCTCCATCCTGTTCTCCCTCTTCTTGAAACCCGTAGAAATCAATGGCTGGCAGAGACTCCGATACGCACCGGCGACTCGCCAAGGCACAGGAACAAACCTACTCCGGTTATTTGCCCCCAAATTTCAGCAGCAGACCCTTCACTCACCTCCACAGGAGCCAAGATGGCGGTAAGAGAAGGACGAGGCCCCGCCGCGTGGCCTTGTGGGATTAAACATCTTTCGACTCCGCCCTCAATTTAGGCATCTTCTCCAAACGCCAGAAAAACAATCCTCGGAAATCGGCTTCGCACTGAAATAAGCCACATTCAATAGCACTCTTACAATTATTTTCCTAAGTCCTTTCATCTTGGTAGGCTGCAAAATGTACTACTTGGGAACAAGGGAAGGCAAAATGGTAGCCAGCTAAATCCGCCAAAGCTGTGCGTTGCCATAGAAACAACTTAGTTTACTTCCTGCGTCCCCGGACGCCGTAGGTGGAAAGGCGAACCCTGAGTGGAGGATGTTCCCGCTGCCTAAAGAATGATTGACTGTAAGATTGATTTGCCAACAGTGGGGTGCTTTTCTCTCGATACACACAGCAATAGACAGAACGGAAATTCTGGGATCCTAATCTAGCATGGAAGAGAAAGGCCGGGAGCACGAAGGCAGCAGGACCTCTTCCTTCTCTTTTTTCTTTTTCTATACTTCTTTTCTCCCCTCTACTTATTTATCTCTTTCAAGAAATGAGACTGGGCACAGTGGCTCACGCCTGTAAACCCAGCTCTTTGGGAAGCCGAGGCGGGAGGATCGCTTGAGGCCAGGAGTTCGAGACCAGCCTGGGCAACATAGTGAGACCACCTCCCCCAACCTCTACAAAAGAAAAAAAAAATGAATGAAATGACTTAAGTTCTTACCTCCATTCTTCTTTTTGGATCCGAGGTATGAGGAGGACTGCCTGCAGGAGGCTTTATCGCCCTTTTAGGAGAACTCGTTTAGCTGCCTCGTGTCCGCACCTAGTAGGTCCTCCGTAGATACTTGTAGAGGTGGATTAGTGGACGCCAGAGATTCACATTTCCGAATTATTGCATATTTATTTGGGTTATCCTATGGATTCATTCATTTATTTAACACATAGTTTAATGAATGACTACCCTGTACCAAGGTTTGTGTAAGATGACACGGCAGTAAACAAATCTATGCCCTCGTGGAGCTTATATCCTACGAGGCGGAGCAACACAATGAGCAAGTAAAAATAGATGACACGTTAGAAGATGATAATTTCTGTGAAGAAAATTAAGCAGAGAGGCCACTGTAAAAGAGGCTTTCCCCACTTTGAGATGGGAAGTATGTAAAAGAGGCTTCCCCTGCTTTGAGATGGGAACTATTTAAGGGTCCTGAACAGAAGGGTGACTCTATCTGACTTCTATATTGACAAAGTCACTGTGTTGAAAGTGAAGGGAGGCAAGGGTATCAGCAGGAAGATAATTATAGGTTCCTGTAGTGACTATGATGAGAGGTGATGGTGTGTAAACAGAGGATATTGAGTACTGGAATTCTGAATATATTTAAATTCTGGCAAGATTTGCTGGTGGATGAGGAATGAGAGAGAGTAAAGTATGACTCCGAAGTTGTATGAAATAGATGTATATAAGTCACTTTTAAAATCAGATCCTCTCTTAAATACAACAGGATAGAACTTGTACCTTGTAGCCTACTACCCCACCCAGTGTTCCCTGTCCCAGAAAGAAATGTGCTAGAAATTTCACTATTAGATATTGATTTGTCAAAGTTCTATATGGAAGTCCTCCTGGGAGGAATAACACATTAAGTGTGAGTTTCATTCGTTTGCTCGTGTATTATTCGTTCCACAAATACTTATTGAGCACTGAGACTTAGCACCTGATACAACTGTGAGCATCGTTGTCATGTTGCTGCTTTCATGGAACAGTTGTCTAGTGGGGGGAAACTGACACTAACGTAACAAATTGTGAACACAGCTCTGCGGGAAAGTAGTGGCATGAGTGCCCAGAAGCCTGATCTGGCCTGACGAGTCAGCGAAAGGATCACTTGGACAAGTGTCAGTTAAGGCATTTTTCAAACTGCAGGTGATGACCATTAGTAGAGCATGATAAGAATACTTTTTAAAACAAAGTATGGGCCGGGCGCAGTGGCTCACGCCTGTCATCCCAGCACTTTGGGAGGCTGAGGTGGGTGGATCACTTGAGGTCAGGAGTTTGAGACCAGCCTGGCCAACATAGTGAAACCCTGTCTCTACTAAAAATACAAAAATCAGCCAGGGGTGTTGGTGTGTGCCTGTCATCCCAGCTACTTGGGAGGCTGAGGTACAAGAATCGCTTCAACCTGGTAGGGGGAGGTTTCAGTGAGCTGAGATCCTGCCACTGCACTCCAGCCTTGGTGACAGAGTGAGACCGTCTCAAAAAAAAAAAAAAAAAAAAAAAAGGTAAAGCAGGAGTGAAACTACAAGGGATGATGGAGTCTCCCGGGACCTAGGAAAGAAATAGTTACCTAAGCCCAGAGAGAGACGTTTGGAGAGAATTGCCTGACAGGAGCCATGACCTTTGATAGAGGAACATAACCAACCAATTATATTCTGGCAGAGAAGGAGCAGGGAGAATAAATGTCTGATCTCACTTCTCTACACTGAATCTCTTTCTGGAATCTCCCCTGGATATACTCCATACGGGTCCATCTCTCAGAGCACAGAAAATGTTAGAGATTTCACCTAGAAAAATGACACTGTCTTAAGCTGGTGATGGGTCAGTGGGACTTTACACGGTGAAAAGGTGAGGGAAGAGTGGCTCCACTGGAAGGAATAGCAGGTGCAAAGACCCTGAGTTGCAAGGGAGCATGAGTCCAGAGAAGAACTGAAAGAAGCCCACTGTGGCTGGAGCCCAGAGAGCAAGGAAAGTGCAGTTGTAGTTGGGTCTAGAGAGGAACAGAGGGGCCCAGATCATACAGACCTTGTGGACCAAGTCAAGAATTTTCTTCTTTGTCCTAAGGCAACGGGAAACCATTGAAGGGTTCTAGGGAAGGACATGATGAGATTTTCCATTTTAAAAGATCACCCTTTCATTTTAAAAAGCTCACTTCCTGAACCTTCTGTCAGGATATCAGAAAAAAAAAATTTAAAAATTAAAAGATCACTTCCAATTTAGAGGTTGTTGGAGTAGTTCAAGCAAAAAAGAAAACAAGGAAACAAACAAACACAGCAACAACTAGGTCCAGCTTAGGAGATATGGAAATAGAAAGTAAAATCCGCCTGGGCGCCTTGGCTCACGCCTGTAATCTCAACACTTTGGGAGACTGAGGCAGGTGGATCACCTGAGGTCAAGAGTTCGAGACCAGCCTGGCCAACATGGTGAAACCCCGTCTCTACTAAAAATACAAAATGGTGGTGTGAGCCTGTAATCCCAGTTACTCGGGAGGCTGAGGCAGGGAAATCACTTGAACCTGGGAGGCAGAGGTTGCAGTGAGCCAAGATCGCGCCATCGTACTGCAGCCTAGGCAAGAAGAGAAAAACTCCATCTCAAAAAAAAAGAAAAGAAAAAAAGAAAGGTATTCTGCTTAATACCATGCTACTTCCTCCTAAAACTGCCCCTGCATCAGGACATTTGGCTAGTCTGAAGTACTTTTTCAAATTTATGTGAAGATTCTGTTTTGTGTGTTTGAATTTTTGCATGTAAGATTTTTGTTGCAAGAGTCATATTTGCACCACGTCTCTCAGAGTTGCTTTATTGTGGACAAATTTACATTGGAAACTCACCACTCACTGTCCATTCAGTACAACGCAAACTTCTCCATAGGGGTTTTCACTGTAAAGCTCATTTAAGCAGAAAGGATTTTGGTTTACTGAGGAGGGGTAACATCTTGATAGCAATGTTAAACTGATTTCCAGGATTAATACAGTTTTCCTTTTTTTTTTTTTTTTTTTTTGAGACGGAGTCTCGCTCTGTCGCCCAGGCTGGAGTGCAGTGGCGCGATCTCGGCTCACTGCAAGCTCTGCCTCCCAGGTTCACGCCATTCTCCTGCCTCAGCCTCCCGAGTAGCTGGGACTACAGGCACCCGCCACCACGCCCGGCTAATTTTTTGTATTTTTAGTAGAGACGGGGTTTCACCGTGTTAGCCAGGATGGTCTCGATCTCCTGACCTTGTGATCCGCCTGCCTCGGCCTCCCAGAGTGCTGGGATTACAGGCGTGAGCCCCCGCGCCCGGCCCCAATTAATACAGTTTTTCTAAGTGTCATCTCACTTATTCCTCTAAGTCCATGTGGAGCAAATTCTGTTATCTGGCAGAGAAGATGAATTGAGTGACCTAATTAAATATTACAGTAATCAGAATGATAGAAAAAATCAAGTATATAGAGATTACCAATTAAAAATCGGTGATATAATAGAACATACTAAAACCACGTTGAACATTAATTTACCTAAAGAAGAGGCTCACAGAGTGCATGTGTCTTGAGTTTGGTAGAGCAGTAATAACTCAGTTGACTTCTTCATAGACCTGCACTCCATGATGTCGGAGGCTCTTTCGCCTCTGGGACTGCTCCACTCCGCACAAAGAGGCGATAGTCACAGCTCCCGTAATCATTTAATTTTCTCTTAATGAAATGGTATAGAAATAACTGAAACATCATTCAAGACGCCCATAAACTAATCTCAGTGTTTCTTTCCCATTTTAGGTAACTGCACTTTTGTGAGATTATAAATATACCACGGAGGGTAACGAAGCTACAGAAGAATGGAAGAGTATGTTTAAAATTCCAATGTTTTTTGTATACATGTATTTAAATTATGCCTTCTGTTAAATTTCTGTGTATACCTTATCTATTGCTGCGTAACAGATTACCCCAGAACTTAGTGACTTAAAATATAAACATTTATTCTTTCCCACAGTTTCTGTGGGTCCCAAGGTTAGGAGCAGGTTAGCTGGATGGTGCTGGCTTGAGGTCTCTCCTGAACTTGAAGTTGGCCAGGGGTGGCAATGATCTGAACACTTGATGGGGGCTGCAGTATCCACTTCCAAGGTGGTTCATTGACAGAGCTGGCAAGTTGGTGCAGGCTGCCGGCAAGAGGCCTTAGTTCCTTACCTTCATGGATGTGTCCACAGTGCTGCTGAAGTGTCCTCATACCAAGGCAGCTGTCTTCCCTCACAGTGAGAGATTTGAGAGAGTGAGGCAGAAGCTGCAATGTCTTTTATCACCTAGCCTTGCAAGTCACACTCCGTCATCCCCACCGTAACCTTCTGGTTACATAGGCTAGTCCTGCTCGGTGTGGTGTAGACTACACAGAGGCGTTAACACTAGAAAGTGAGAATCATTTGGGCCACCTTGGAGGCTGGATACCACATTCTGTTTTTCACTCATCATGAGACACTTTTGGTTAGCATCCAAAGATACTCCTAGGGAAAAAAAAGTTAATTTTGGCTCAAATTCAAATTGATCAGAATAGCCAAATTGCATGAACTACATACCTTTATTAAACAGTAGGCCAGGCGCGGTGGCTCACGCCTGTAATCCCAGCACTTTGGGAGGCTGAGTTGGGCAGATCACCTGAGGTCAGGAGTTCAAGGCCAGTCTGACCAACATGGAGAAACCCAATCTCTACTAAAAACACAAACTGGCCGGGCGCGGTGGCTCACACCTGTAATCCCAGCACTTTGGGAGGCCGAGGTGGGCGGATCACGAGGTCAGGAGATCGAGACCATCCTGGCTAACACGGTGAAACCACGTCTCTACTAAAAATACAAAAAATTAGCCAGGTGTGTTGGTGGACGCCTGTAGTCCCAGCTACTTGGGAGGCTGAGGCAGGAGAATGGTGTGAACCCAGGAGGCAGAGCTTGCAGTGAGCCAAGATCGCGCTACTGCACTCCAGCCTGGGCAACATAGTGAGACTCTGTCTCAAAAAAAATAAAATAAAATAAAATAAAATAAAAACACAAACTTAGCCAGGTGTGGTAGCACATGCCTGTAATCCCAGCTACTCGGGAGGGTGAGGCAGGAGAATCGCTTGAACCTGGGAGGCAGAGGTTGCGGTGAGCTGAGATAGCACCATTGCACTCCAGCCTGGGCAACAAGAGCGAAACTCCATCTGAAAAAAAGAAAAAAAAAAAAAGAGTAAGTTGTTTGCCTTTGGTTGGTCAAAATGGAAGATACTTAGCAGAATCACACGCCAAATCCTCCTTTTTTTTCATCTAGGTTCTATTATACGACGATGTGAATATCACAGGAGCCCAGCACGTTGCTGCCTGTGCTTTTGAGTTAAAGTAATGTTTAAATATTGGTTGCTGACTTATTTTTTCTTTATTCTTTCCTTAGAGACAGCCTGGAAGACTCAAACCTTCCTCCAAAAGTTTGGCATTCTGAGATGACGGTGTCAGTGACAGGCGAACCACCTAGTACCGTAGAAGAAGAAGGAATACCTAAAGAAACAGACATAGAAATCATCCCAGAAATCCCGGAAACTCTAGAGCCACTGTCCCTTCCAGATGTGCTGAGGATCTCGGCAGTTCTGGAGGACACCACAGACCAGCTCTCTATTCTGAACTACATCATGCCCGTTCAGTACGAAGGGAGACAGAGCATCTGCGTGGTATAGACCCACTCACCATGAGTTAATTTTGCTTTATTTTTTATTTCTCCCTCATTTATAGTACCTATCCCATTAAATGTACTTATTTTTCTTTCTTTCTCTCTCTCTCTTTCCTTCTTTGTTTCTTTTCTTTTTTTTTTTGACAGGGTCTCGCTCTGTGGCCTAAGCTGGAGTGTAGTGGTGCCATCATGGCTGACTGCAGCCTCTACCTCCCAGGCTCAAGTGATCCTCCCACCTCAGCCTCCTGGGTAGCTGGGACTACAGGCCTGCACTACCACACCCAGCTAATTTTTTATAAAAATTCTATAGAGATGGGATCTCACTATGTTGTCCAGGCTGGTGCCATTAAATATCACGTGGGAAATAGCACCTTTATTTCAGATAAAGGGGCTACAATAACTATCTGAGATATGCACTCTCAACTGATGGAGTGAAATTGCCATAACTCAAGGTATATTACCAGACAGAATATCCTTTTCTAGTATATTGGTTTTACCCAAAAAGGCCTCTACTGAAATCAGTATGAATACAATCTATATACTGAAGAGATGGAATTACTGAGTTGTCCCACCCAACTTGTATTTCTCAGCTGCTGCAACCTAACTGAACACTAGGGGGAGGAAATTCAACTCCACTCTTAACGCTTTAATCTAAAATGACTTTGTTGTCATTGATGAATCCTCTGTGAAGCAGCACTGAGTTATCAGAAAATTAACTTAGTAGTGAGCAAAGTCTTTATGCATTTTTAAGCTCTTGTACATTTCAGTAACTTAGGTTGTAGGTATAAAATGGAAACAATTTATAAATAGAAGTACACATTTATCAAGTTATAAATAATAACATTATATAACTTGTTCAGAAGATACTTTTTTTTTTTTTTTTTTGAGATGGAGTTTCGCTCTTGTTGCCCAGGAGTGTCTAGGCTCACCGCAACCTCCGCCTCCCGGGTTCAAGCAGTTCTCCTGCCTCAGTCTCCCAAGTGCTGGGATTACGCCACCACGCCCAGCTAATTTTGTACTTTTAGTAGAGACGGAGTTTCTCCATGTTGGTCAGGCTGGTCTTGAACTCCCGACCTCAGGTGATCTGCCCACCTCGGCCTCCCAAAGTGCTGGGATTACAGGCGTGAGCCACCACACCCAGCCCAGAAGATATTCTTATGTCTGATTCTATGACCATTGAAAATTGCTATATAAATAAGAGGGTAAATTGCTTTTTTTTTCATTTTGTTTGTTTTGTTTTTGCTTTTCATTTCTAACAGTAAAGTCCATATTTATCAAGAGAAGAAAATTAAATTTCCCTTTAATTTTCCATTAAAATTTCAAATTTTCTAAATTATTATTGTTATATATACAGCCTGGGCTCTTTTTTTTTTTTTTTTTTTTTTTTTTTTTTGTGAGACGGAGTCTCGCTCTGTTGCCCAGGCTGGAGTGCAGTGGCGCGATCTTGGCTCACTGCAAGCTCCGCCTCCCGGGTTCATGCCATTCTCCTGCCTCAGCCTCCCGAGCAGCCCGGGTTCTTAAAGCTTTCATTAAAGTTTAAAAAGTTTAGATAAGATTTTACAAAACAATGGATTTGGAGTCAGGAGACGTTTGGGATATAGTTACGTGCTGTTAGCAATCATTTCACTTTTTTGGTCTAAGTTTTCTCATTTGTAAGTTGTAATGGAGTTTTACCTAAATGACCCATAGATCCCTTCCAGAGCTGGCATTCTGCGAGTTTTGGGGTAGTTTTAAAATGCTGTAAGTATCACAGGAATTGTATAATGTAAGTTAACTTCCTTGTTAACTTATGAAGGGCAAACAGATAAGGATCTAAGAACAAAATCTTCCACTGCATTTAAAATAAGAGGCTAATCTTAACAATTTAAGCTGGCTAACAAATAGTACAGAAGAGACTGGTGTATTCTTCCTATTTATTATCTCCTTCAGCAAGAATAAAAAATAAAATGGGTGCTTTGGGAGGCCAAGGTGGGAGAAATACTTGAGGCCAGAAGTTTGAGACCAGCCTGGGCAGCATAGAAGACCCTGTCTCTACCAAGAAAATACAAAAATTAGCCAGGAATTGTGGCGTACGCCTGTAGTCCCAGCTACTCAGGAGGCTGATATGGGAGGATCATTTGAGCCCATGAGACTGAGGCTGCAGCAAGCCAAGGTCACACCACTGCATGCCAACCTGGGTGACAGAGTGAGACCTTGTTGAAAGAGAAAGAAAGAAGGAAGGGAGGGAGGGAGGGAAAGAAAGAAAGAGAAAGAGAGAAAGGAAGGAAGGAAGGGAGGAAGGGAGGGAGGGAGGGGAAGGGGGAGGGGGAAGGGTGAGGAGGGAGGGGGATGGGAGAGGAGGGAGGGGGATGGGAGAGGAGGGAGGGGGATGGGAGAGGAGGGAGGGGGAAGGGAGGGGAGAGAGGGAGGAAGGAAGGAAGGGAAAGAAAGAGACAGAGGGGAGAGAGAGAGGAAGGAAGGAAGAAAGGGAAGGAGGGAGGAAAAGAAAGAAAGGAAGAGAGGAAGGTAGGAAGGGAGGGAGGGGGAAGGGAGGGCAGGGAGAGGGAAGGGAAGGGAGGGAGGAAGGAAGGGAAAGAAAGAGACAGAGGAGAGAGGGGAGAGAGAGAGGAGAGAGAGGAAGGAGGGAGGGAGGGAAGGAAGGAAGGAAGGAAGGACAAACAAATGGGAAGGCATTCAGTTAATAAATGAAGTCTTTTCAATGCTACCTGCTGTCAGCCTTTGAAAAGAGTAATTTGCCATCATGGAATATCAAGAATGACAGTGTTCTAAATTAATCGACAGTGTTCAGCAGTGGTCACTACTCCAGTAAATGAATGAAACTTTTGCACTGTTTTTTTCTGGTTTATCATAGTGATCTTTTACCCACAAAATTTTCTGACTCAACAGAAACCCTCCTTGTGATTTTACTGTAGTGTAAATAGTAATATATAATATGTATAATTATAGTAACTTTAATCATGTTGATTAATAGCAATTTAAAAGCCCATTTCTCAATATGTTAGCTTCATATCTTTTAAAAATTGTGAATCTCTTAAAATATTTTTTGGTTTGTATTTCATGGTACTATAGTTGTTCTGACTCATGAATTTGAAGATGCCGCTGCCCTGTAGGGCCTAGGCTGTATATTTTTAAATGTTAGTATATGGATGTTTCCTTTCCCAAAGGCTTGACATCCTTGAGCCTTTTAACAACGTTGAGAGGAAAGATTAGCATTTTCCCTCTTTTAAAGCCGTTTTTATGGCTAAGGCCATCTCCAGATACATTTTCATGTATTAGAATTATGAAATGAAAGGATGAAAAATATATTAATATACGTGGTTCTGCCAGAAATGAGAGTGATTTGACCAAAGTTTGGAAAGAGTTTTCTTGCAGGGAATACTGTTTTTCTTCTCTTTTTCCTTACGGTAAAAAACCCTATCTTGTACATAGCATGTGCAATATAAAATATATTATTATATATATATATATATGTAAATTTTTAGAGGCCAGGCACGGTGGCTCACGCCTGTCATCCCAGCACTTTGGGAGGCCGAGGCAGGTGGATCACCTGAGGTCAGGAGTTTGAGACCAGCCTGGCCAAAATGGCGAAACCTCATCTCTACTAAAAATACAAAAAAATTAGCCGGGCATGATGGTGTGGGCCTGTAATCCCAGCTACTTGGAAGGCTGAGGCAGGAGAATCGCTTGAACCCGGGAGGCAGAGGTTGCAGTGAGTGGAGATGGTGCCACTATAATCCAGCCTGAGCGACACAGTGAGACTCTGTCTCAAAAAAAATTTTTTTTAGTGCGTCAACTAGAACACTTAGCTCGTTTCTTTAATTCTATTCTAAAAATTCACATTTCTTTCTAGTAATCAGTAAATCAGGCCATGAGACACATTTGGTTCCTTTTCCAGATGTCCAAGTATAAAGGTAGAGGAATAGTGGTTAGGGAACTCAGAAAATGGGGCATCCCAGAGGTCACAGTGAGCCGAGATCGCGCCACTGCACTCCAGCCTGGGCGGCGGAGCAAGACCCTGTCTCAAAAAAAAAAAAGACAGTGGAGCCTCCTAGACCTTACATTTCCCCTTATTGCCTTAGGCAAAATCTAAAATAATAACCATTTATTTTACCAGTGGGAAAATGGGGACACAGAGATGTTAACTAGTTGCCCAAGGTCAATAGAGTTGAGAGACAGCAGGATTCAAACATGGCTTCAGAATCCGTATGTGTAGTCGCTGCATCGTGTGCCTCAGTGGCTCAAGCTTTTAGCCACAGTTTAGTTTACACCATCAGCTGAAAGGCATAGGCCGTTCCTGCGGTCCCTTAATAGTCAGCACCATCAGCTGAAAGGCATACGCCGTTCCTGCGGTCCCTTAATATTCAAGTTTGGTTCTGAAAAAAATTATTTTGGCTTTTCCCTCCATGATCCTCAAAGTCTACACCACACCACTAAATGTACTATCAACCTCTGCTTTTAGTATGATTCTCCTTTTTTTATTTGTATTTCAAGTTCATATGTTCAAGGAACATTTGCGTCTCTGCTATATGCTAGTCATTGTTCTAAGCAATGGGACTACAAAGATGGCCACATTTATTGAATATCCAATCTTGTTCCAAAAATAACTTGAGACTAGTCTTCAAAAAAAGTTTTTCTTGAAGTGGAACCAAGATCTCTAAGACACTGTCCCCCCGACCCTAGAAACCACGACCTGATGGAGATACTTTATAAAAAATTACAACATGAGAAATGCCTGCTAACAGAGATATTTCACAAAGAACTTTACTTTTGAGCAGAGTGTACCAGGTGGTAAGTTGGGGAATGACGGAGAAGAAGAATGTTGTGTGAAGTTAGCAGCAGGGCGCGTGTGGTTTGGTGTGGCTGAAGAAAGGGGCACATTTTCTTGGAGTATAGAGTAGAAGTCAGAGAAGATAATGTTGAAAAATGTACACAAAGGCCTCTTTCTTGTTGTATTGTCTCTTTAAAAAAATTCTTTCTAATTGTTTATTGTTTTAAAAGAAAAGCAGAGAAATGAATCTAGAAGGAACGAATCTAGACAAACTTCCAATGGCCTCAACAATCACAAAAATACCCAGTCCGTTAATAACTGAGGAAGGACCCAACTTGCCAGAAATCAGACACAGAGGCCGGTTCGCTGTGGAGTTTAACAAAATGCAGGATCTTGTCTTCAAAAAACCTACAAGGCAGACCATCATGACTACGGAGACACTGAAGAAAATTCAGATTGATAGGTAAGGAAGGAAGACATTTGGCAGTGAAATAACGTATTTACACATAGATGAGCGAAGGGGCGCCCAGGTGGCTGACTGCTATCGTCTACAGGTTAGTCATTACTGTGTATGCAAAATGACTGCTGAGAATAGAATTAGCTAAAGACTGCCTAGAGGCAGGGTGATATGAATGGAAAGCAAGGCAGCTATATGATATTGCATAAGTTATTAAGTCTTTTTTTTTTTTTTTTGAGATGGAGTTTCGCTCTTGTCACCAAGGCTGGAGTGCAATGGTCTGATCTCGGCGCAGTGCAGCCTCCGCCTCCCGGGTTCAAGCAATTCTCCTGCCTCAGCCTCCTGAAGAGCTGGGATTACAGGTGCACGCCACCATGCCCGGCTAATTTTTGTATTTTTTAGTAGACAACGGGTTTCACCATGTTGGCCAGGCTAGTCTTGAACTCCTGACCTCAGGTGATCCACCCGCCTCGGCCTCCCAAAGTGCTGGGATTACAGGCGTGAGCCACCGCGCCCGGCCCTTTGTCTTTGTTTCCAATTTTTATTTTATTTATTTTTTAAATTTTTTTCTTTTTCTTTTTTTCCTTCAGCTGTATACCTGCAGATTGTTTATTTTTTAGAGACGAGGTCACTCTGTAGCCCAGGCTGGAAGCCAGTGCTATTGACTGGAGAGATCATAGAGCACTGCCGCCCTCAAGCTTCTGGCTTCCAGTGAGCCTCTCACATAGCTGGGACTACAGCCACACTGGCTGTTTTCAATTATTAAAAATGAGAATGGGCTGGGCGCGGGGGCTCAACCTGTAATCCCGGCACTTTGGGAGGTAGAGGCTGGTGGATCACGAGGTCAGGAGTTCAAGACCAGCCTGGCCAATAAAGTGAAACCCTGTCTCTACTAAAAATACAAAAATTAGCCAGGCGTGGTGGTGGACACCTGTAATCTCAGGTGCCTCGGCACCAGCTACTCAGGAGGCTGAGGCAGGAGAATTGCTTGAACCTGGGAGGCAGAGGTTACAGTGAGCTGAGATGGCACCACTGCACTCCAGCCTGGGTGACAGAGCAAGACTCTGTCTTGAAAAAAAAAAAAGAGAAAAGAAAAAGACCGTGATAGCAACCTTGCAACCTTAGTGTAAGGGTTAGAAATAAGGCTTTAGTACCTGGCACAGCTTGGTAGCTATTGTGATGCTTTATCCATTAATAGCTACTATATAGCTATTATTATTCTACATAGCCAAATTCCAAACTGTGTTTTAATCCTGAGGGTTTCTTAAAGGCAGTCTAAATTCCCATTGTCTCATAATGTTTTGTTGTCAGCTGGCTCGATGACAAATAAGCCTGTTAAGAGGGTGTAACATTACGTTAAGAACTTTTGGTAAATGAGAGTTTTTACTGCAATTACGCAGGACCACTAGCTAAATCCAGTCTGAAGTCTGTTTTTGAAAAGCTTTATTGGAATACGGCATCGCCCATTTGTTTATACGTTGCCTGTGACTGCTTTCATGCCACAATGCAGAGTTGAGTCGTTGCCAAAGAGAACTTACGCCCTGCAAAGCCGAATATTTACTACGTGCCTCTTTACAGAAAGAGTTTGCTGACCTCGGTATTCGACCCTAACCAAGAGTAAGATCTTGCTAAAGTCAGCCTGGCCCAGATCTGCATCGGACAGAAAGGCAACCTGCTTATAAATTGCCCGCTTCATGTCCTTTTCATTCTCAGTGTGTGGCTCGTATCTTTTCCTGAAAGACCCAAAATACCAGTCGCAATTATTTGTAGGGGATTAGTTTTAGATTTATATTCCATCTGAAACCCAGGGTATATTCACAAAATGTACATCTCCACCAGTTATCCAGAATCAAGTGGAAATCAAAATATCAAGGACATAAAAACTACAACAGGCCAGGCGTGGCAGCTCACACCTGTGATCCTAATGCTTTGGGAGGCCAAGGTGGGAGGATTGCTTGAGCCCAAGAGTTTGAAACCAGCTGGGTAACATAGTGAAATCTCATCTCTACTAAAAATCAAGAAAAGTAGCTGGGCATGGTGGTGGGCCTGTGGTCCCAGCTACTCTGGAGGCTGAGGTGGGAGGATCACCCGAGCCTAGGAAATTGAGGCTGCAGTGAGCCGTGATTGTGCCACTGCACTCCAGCGTGTGTGACAGTGAGGCCCCATCTCAAAAAAAAACTTAAAAAGCAAAACAGCAACAACAAAAAAACTACAACTCTTTATGAATTTAAAATGGGAATTTGTAGGAAGCTTGTGTATGCTTTCCTTGCTGTACTCATCTTTATGCATTATTGTCTTATTGCATTGAATTAATAATTATTTTATCATAACATACTACTGTCAAAAGACAAAATTACAACAAATCTAAATATCTTTTTTTTTCTTTTTTTGAGACAGAGTCTTACTCTGTCGCCCAGGCTGGAGTACAATGGTACAATCCTGGCTCACTGCAACCTCCGCCTCCTGAGTTCAAGTGATTCTCCTGCTTCAGCCTCCCGAGCAGGTCTTGAACTCCTGACCTCAGGTGATCCGCCCGTCTCAGCCTCCCAAAGTGCTGGGATTACAGACGTGAGCCACCGCGCCAGGCCACAAATCTAAACATCTTAATTGGCTTTTATTTGCAATTCTAAATCAGGCAACACCTCATTCTATGAAGTAGAAGTACTGTTCTGATGACCTGGGCAGAGGAGGTTGGCTTTACAGGCAGAAAGGGCTGAAGAAAGCAGAAACAGAGACTATAACGTGAATGGTCATGTTGAAGTTACTTTCCTGGCTGCAGGCGGTGGCTCACACCTGTGATCCCAGCACTTTGGGAGGCTGAAGTGGGAGGAGTGCTTGAAGCTAGGAGTTCAAGACCAGCCTGGGCAACATAGCGAGACCTCATCTCCACAAAAATGAAAAAAATTAGCTGGGCGTGGTGGCGTGCTTTAGTCCTAGCTACTGAGGAGGCTGAGGCGGGGGAGGACCACTCAAGCCGGGGAGGTTGAGGTTACAGTGAGTTACGATCATGCCACTGCATTCCAGCCTGAGTGACAGGGCGAGACCCTGTCTCTAATTAATTAATTAACAATTTTAAAAATCACAAATTTACTTTTCTTTTCTTTTTTTTTTTTTGGAGACAGAGTCTCGTTCTGTCGCCCATACTGGAGTGCAGTGGCGCAATCCCGGCTCACGCAACCTCCGCCTCCTGGGTTCAAGCGATTCTCTTGCCTGAGCCTCCCGAGTAGCTGGGATTACTGGCGTGCGTCACCACGCCTGGTTAATTTTGTATTTTTAGTAGAGACAGGGTTTCACCATGTTAGCCAGGCTGATCTCGAACTCCCGACCTCAGGTGATCCGCCCGCCTCAGTCTCCCAAAGTGCTGGGATTACAGGCATGAGCCACTGCGCCCGGCCACAAAATTACTTTTCTTGGAAAGATTAAAGCAAAGGGGACTTCCTTACCATACCAGCTAAAACTGGCTATTCTCTAAATCTCCCTCTCCCTTGAGTTGTTATGTAAAATAGTAACTATAATTCTTGCCAACTGTGTCAAGACATTAAATAGCCATTTTTAATTTTTATTTTATTATTATCATTATTTTGAGACAGGGTCTCACTCTGTCACTCAGGCAGGAGTGCAGTGGCACAAACATGACTCACTACAGCCTCAAACGACCCTCCCACCTCAGCCTCCCAAGTGGCAGGGACTACAGGCACGTGCCACCATGACCAGCCTTTTTTTTTTTTTTAATTTTTGTGAGATGGGGTGGGGGGAGGGGGTCTCACTATGTTGCCCAGACTGGTCTTGAAATCCTGGACTCAAGCGATCCTCCTGCCTCGGCCCCTCAAAATGCTGGGATTACAGGTGTGAGCTCTTGTGCCCGGCCTAAACAGCTCCACTTAGGAGAGGATCATGAAGAACAGCGGACTACGCGTTAGGAAACCTGGGCTATATGTCTCCAGCTCTTTCTCAAACTAGGTATGTGACCACGGGCAAGTCACTTAACTTTCCTGAACCTGGTTTACTCATCTCAAAAATGTGAATGTTTCCTGAACCTGGTTTACTCATCTCGAAAATGTGAACGTTTGGCCGGGCGCCGTGGCTCACGCCTGTAATCCCAGCACTTTGGGAGGCCGAGGTGGGCAGATCACTTGAGGTCAGGAGTTTCACACCAGCCTGGTCAACATGGTGAAACCCTGTCTCTACTAAAAATACAGAAGTTAGCTGGGTGTGGTGGCACGTGCCTGTAATCCCAGCTCCTCGGGAGGCTGAGACAGGAGAATCGCTTGAACCTGGGAGGTGCAGGTTGCAGTGAGCCGAGATCGTGCCACTGCACTCCAGCCTGGGCAACAAGAACGACACTCTTGTCTCAAAAAAAAAAAAAAAAAGACCCAGAATGAACATCATAATGAAAATTGGAATTATCCCAGGAATGCAAAAATAGTTTAGCATTAGAAAATGTAAAAAAATAAATAAATAGAAAGATCAATAGATGCAGAAAAGGCATTTGGCAAAATTCAACATATAAAAATCAACACTAAAAACCTCTTAGCAAACTAGAAATTAAAGAAAACTTCTTTTTTTTTTTTTTTTTTTAGCTGGGTGAGGTGGCCCATGCCTGTACTCCCAGCCACTCAGGAGGCTAAGGCGGGAGAGTCGCTTGAACCCAGGAGGCAGAGGTTGCAGTGAGCCAAGATCACACCACCACACTCCAGCCTGGGTAACAGAGCGAGTCTCCATCTCAAAAAAAAATGAAATAAAAATAATAACATGTAAAACTACATGTATTATTTAAATAAAACACACAAACACATAATAAAAGTATCACAACATGCTAGAGAATAATAATCACCAAATTCAGAAGAGTGTTTATCTCTGGGGAAGATTGAGGGGACTGGGACTAGAGACTTCAGATATATCTGACACATGTAATCTTTAAAAAAAACCAAGTCTCTACCATGGTAAAATATTTAAATTTGGTGTTACGTACATAAATATTCATTATTTTATT